>NC_000012.12:109732855-109884370 GCF_000001405.40 Homo sapiens | reverse complement strand
TAAAAATCAAACAAATTAGCCGGGTGTGGTGGCGGGCGCCTGTAGTCCCAGCTACTCGGGAGGCTGAGGCAGGAGAATGGCGTGAACCCGGAAGGCGGAGCTTGTAGTGAGCTGAGATTGCACCACTGCACTCCAGCCTGGGTGACAGAGTGAGACTCCTTCTCAAAAAAAAGAAAAAAAAAAGATTTTTTCTCATTTTGTTACCCAGGCTGGAGAGCAGTAGCACAATCACCTCACTGCAGCCTCCAACTCCTGGGATCAAGGGGTCCTCCCACTTCAGCCTTCCACATAGCTGGGACTACAAGCACTTGCCATGATGCATGACTAATAGTGCCCTTTTGATGGGCTATGTGGCCCCCAGTTCTCCAAAGTCTCCACCACTCCTCATTGTGTGACACTCAGCCCACAGCACCCATTTATGCTACTAGCCTGGCCCCTGTCACAAGCTATGGGAAAGCAAAAATCCACCCTAGGCCAGGCACTAATCATATTTTTTGGATTGATGAAGGGGTAGATGAATGGATGGATGAACTTTCAAGATGCTGCATTATCTCAGAGCAATGACCTATCTCAGTGCATCAAGCCTATGTTCTATGGCAAGGTGCTTCTTGAATCAGCCATAGTGTCTGAATGGTTTGTTTGGAATGGAAAGTGTTGAGAAATCAGGGTGTTGTCTGATGCCAGAGGTCCCCACATAGGGTGCAATCTCTGTGTGGAATTGATAGAGGCGTCTGACAGGTGGGTGGGGTTCTGGCACTAGGACAGGGTGCGGGGCGGGGCAGTGAGGCTTCAAGGAGATGGTATCATAGGATGCTCGAGGTAGTGAGGTTGGGTGGGGTGGGAACAAGCCTAGTTGATGGCTTGGGATCCTATCAGTAGGAGATCTGACTTGATGGAGCATGTCAGGGTCTGGGTATGAGCAAGAGTTGATGTTAGCTTTATCTTCCCCAGCCCCTCTCACTTCCTGATTCTACCTGGGTCATGGTTTGAAACAACCTCTTCTCTCACCTGCCCTCTGAAAGATTAAAACATTCAGGCTGGGCACAGTGGTTCACACCTATAATCCTAGCACTTTGGGAAGCCAAGGTGGGAGGATCGCTTGAGCCCACGGGTTTAAAAGCAGGCTGGGAAACATAGCAAGACACCATCTTTACCAAAAAAAAAAAAAAAATAGGGTAGCATGTTGGCATGTTCCTGTAGTCCCAGGTACTTGAGAGACTGAGGCGGGAGAATCCCTTGAGCCCAGAAGGTTGAGGCTGCAGGGAGCTGTGATCACACCACTCTAGCCTTGGCTACAGAGTGAGATCCTGTCTCTCAAAAAAAAAAAAAGAAAAAAAAAAGAAAACATTCTATAAGATTCAGCAGAAATGCACTAGTGATTTCTTATTGCCTTTAACATGAAATCCAAACTCTTGGCCAGGCGCGGTGGTTCACACCTGTAATCCCAGCACTTTGGGAGGCTGAGGCGGGCGGATCACAAGGTCAGGAGTTTGAGACCAGCCTGGCCAACATGGTGAAACCCCATCTCTACTAAAAATACAAAAAAATTAGCCAGGCGTGGTGGCAAATGCCTGTAATCCCAGCTACTTGGGAGGCTGAGGCAGAGAATTGCCTGAACCCGGGAGGCGGAGGTTGCAGTGAGCCGAGATTGCACCACCACTGTACTCCAGCCTGGGCGACAGAGTGAGACTCCATCTCAAAAAAAAAAAAAAAAAAAAAAAAATCCAAACTCTTCACCACTCCCTTCCTGCCCCAATATACTCCAGCCTCTGCCCACCTCCCTGACCTCAACTCCTATCACCCTACTCACTCTTGCCCTCACTTACCCATTCCCATTTCCTCCCCTGGCCCCCCGATTCCTTGCACCACACTAAGCTCTTTGTTACCTTAAGGCTTTTGCTCATGTGCCTCACACCCCAAGTCTTTTTTTTTTTTTTTTTTTAGACGGAGTCTCGCTCGCTCTGGCTGGAGTGCAATGGCACGGTCTTGGCTCACTGCAACCTCCACCTCCCTGGTTCAAGCAATTCTCCCTGCCTCAGCCTCCTGAGTAGCTGGGATTACAGGCTCCTGCCACCACACCCAGCTAACTTTTGTATTTGTTAGTAGAGATGGGGTTTCACCATGTTGGCCAGACTCACACCCCAAGTCTTTGACCTGGCTCTATCCTACTTCTCCTCTAGGTCTCAGCTCAAATATCACCTCTTCAGAGGTACTGCTCCCAAACCCCTACATCCGATCTCAGCCAACAGGCTTCAGTCATCCTCCGTCACTACACTGTTTTATTTTCTTCACATACTCATCAGTGTCTGAAGTTGTCTTACCAATTTGTGTATTGCATTGTGTTGTGTTCCCAACCAGATTGTCAGCTCCACAAGGGCAGGGATTTTGCTGTATCATTCACTTTATCCTCAGTGCCCAGTGCAGTGCATGACACATAGTGGTGGAGGGTGGGGGAGGGGTGGGAAGGATGGCAAATGTTTATTCTGGAATGAATAAGAGGCTCTCAACAATGGTGTGTTAGATTTTTGCATAAGCTGGGCATTGGGTTTAGGACATAAGCATCTAGGTGGGTTGTGGCTGAGATGACTTGTGATTCAAGGTGTGAGAAGCTGGACCCTGGGCTGTTGGAGAGACATTAGGTTTGGGAAACAAGTGTCCAGGTTGTGGGTGAATTGGTATAAACTGGGCTGGCTCCAGCTGTTACCAGTAGAAGGTGTCCAGGTACTTGGCATCTTGGAGAAAACACACAAACGAAGCAAGGAAAGCAAAAGCAAGGATTTACTGAGAACGAAAAGTCCACCCCACAGTTTGGGAGCAGGCTTGAGCGTAGAGGCTCAAGAGCTCTGCTTACAGAATTTTCTAGGGTCTCAATACTCTAGAGGTTTCCCATTGGTTACTTGGTGAATATTCTATGTAAATGAAGAGAATGAAGTGAAGTCACAGAGTCATTTACTCAGAATGTGCCCTATTGCAAATGGAGAGGATGTGCAAATGGAGAGGATGTTACTTGGTGGGAGAGGATGAATGTGAAGTTACAAAGTATAAATGGAGAGGATGTTTCTTGGAGTGTGTGGTCTGTGTAAATGGAGAGGATGAATGTGAAGTTACAAAGTGTAAAGGGCGTGAATGGAGAGGATGAAGTGAAGTTGCAAAGCCGTTTACATTCCTGTCATTGCTAAGGTGCTTTTTGATTTAGGTCTAGGAAGTCAGCCTTATGTTCCCTGCCTCCAGGCCCTATTTTTCTGCCTCACAACAGGTAACATCAGACTGTTGAGGGCAGACTGGACCCCAGATTTCGGGAAGCAGGAGTTGTCCAGCAGGGCAGTGGCTGAGTTAGACTGTGACTTCAGCAGTGTTCAACAGGTATAAGGTCATTGAAGACCAAGAATCAAGCAATCGAGCGTCCTCGTCGGTTGTAGCGAAAGAGAACCGTGACCAACAGGAGAGCAGTGTCCACCCAGGTCACTTGGGGTTACTGGGGTACAATTTTGGGGGAAACGGGGGTCCTGGGGAGCGTTGGCTGGGTGGGGCTGTAACCCGAGCTGGTGGGCGGGTTGTGAGCTGTGACCTGGCCCGAGTCGGCCCGCCCGGATTGGGGGGCCAAACCGGGGGCGGCGGGAGGCACACCTGGGGAAGACTCACCTGGGAGCGGCTCACTTGGGCCCTCCGGGACCCATGAACCGGCGCACCTCCTCTGCGTCCCGCCCCCGGCCGGCCCCCCGGCCAATGGGGGCGCGGAGACCTCGGCGGCGGGCGCGGATTGGGAGCCGGTGAGCGGGGGCGGGGCGGCGCGCCCGGCAGTTTAGGCGCTCGGCCGGCGGGCGGCGCTGAGCGCTCGGCTACGAGGGCGCCGTGCGGGCGGAAGTGGCGACGCTGGCGTCCCCGGAGCCTGCGGCGGGCGGCTGTGACGGCCCCGGCGCTGACGGCGGCGGCCGGGGGGGCGGTGTCGACGCCCGCGGCGCCGGCTGGGGCATCACCGCGGGCCTCGACCCCGAAATGGCGCTGCTGGCCGAACACTTGCTGAAGCCGCTGCCCGCGGACAAGCAGATCGAGACCGGGCCCTTCCTCGAGGCGGTGTCCCACCTGCCGCCCTTCTTCGGTGAGCCGGAATGGAGGGGGGAGGCGGCCCGCAGCCCCACGCGCACCCGAATCCTCCTTCCCCCGAGCATCCCCTAACCATCTCTGCCCTAGACACCCCTAAGTACTGTTTCCCCAGGCACCCAAGATCCTCTTTCCCTCCACTCACCCTAAATTCTCCCTTTCCCGGACCACTCCCAAGTCCTCTCCGCTCTAAACATGTCACATCCTGCCTGTCCTCCCCAAATCCTCCCTCTCCCTAGACACCTCACAGTCCTACATATCCCCCAAATGCCCCCTGATCATCCGTGCCCCCAACACGGATGATCTTCCATCTCCCTTAGGCATTCTGTAATCCACCATCTCCCCCAAAGCCTCCTGCCCCTTCTTCCCCAAAGTCCTTCATCCCTGGCGCTTTCTGATGGCTCTCAACTCGCTCCCCTTACAATGAATCCCCCCATTTCATAAGCCTTCTCTTTGAACGCTTCCAGCCTCTCCCTCATGGGACCTACAAACCCTTCCTTCTTCCCTCAGAATTCGCCCATTCCAGATCAAAGACTCCCATCTCCCCCTCCAAGGGTAGGAAGCCTGGTGAGGCGGGGACAAGGAGAGGGTTTTGAAGATGGAGTTGCAAAATTCCAGGGCCTCTTTCTAGGGGAAACCACCTAAAGTTTTTCCTCCTTTTAGGACAGGGGTGAGGGTTGTCGGGGGAGCTGTTTTGTGAGGTGACATCAGACATACAGAGCTTGGCACCAATTCCTCCCTCAGTTTGGGCTCTACGAGAGGAAGCCCCTCCCCTGTATGTCGTGTGGAAGTTCCTGGGCGCATTGGGAAGGCGGTCCACTTTCAGACCCTCTTCCCGCACTCCCTCAGCCTAGCCCAGTCCAGCCAAGGCCCCAGATGGAAAATGGGAACTAGAAGCCAGCACCACTGCCCCTGCCCTTTGCCTTTTGGGTCCCGGGTAAAGGGTGCAACCTGAGCCTCTATTCTCCTTCTCCATGTGGGCTCTGTCCTGTCCTGCTGGTTCACTTGGTGGCCTTGCAGGAAAATACCAGCCCCCAGGGCAGAGTCCACCTGAAACCCAAAGACAGGAGATCTTAAGACAGTCCGACTTAGTGGGCAAAGAAGGCTTGTTAGGGGTGGTAGTTCCCACAGTGTCCTGAGCTCTGGGATGGTTGTGGTTACCTGGAGGCTATAGTTCCCCTCCTTCACCTCGTGAGCCTCAGTGTCCCCAGCTGTGAAACGGGGATGCTGATCTCCTAGGGCAGCTGTGAGGAGTCGATGAGGTGGTGTGTGTAAAGTACCGAGGCCGTAAGTGCCAAATAGGTCTTCGCTGTAGGGGGTGTGGTTTTAAGTTCCTGAATCCAGTTTTGGTTCCTTGCTAGAGTGATTAATCGGTGTTTGAGGGAGTGCAATTGTCTGGTGTGTATGATTCCCAGACCTGGGTAAGCAACCTGAGAGCAAGGGCTTGGTTTTTTACATCCACTCTGTGTCCTCAGTGCCCAGAACAGTGCCTGGCACATAGCAGATGCTCAGTCAATACTGCTGAATGCACAAAACTTTCTTATTATCAGTGTCACAGTCTTGAGATAATACTGACTCTCCAGGTGGGGGCTTGGGAGCGAACCAGCTCTAGCATTGAAAAGTTGTTTAATTTTGTGATGTTGTTGGTTGTTGTTGTTTTTTTTTTGCTTGCTTGTTTCCTCTTTGGTTGCAGGAATAGTTCCAAGTCAGAGCCAGCTTGCCCTGGACAGGGATTCAGAATCCATTTAAGCCAGTGGTTCTCAACTGAGGGCAGTTTTGCCCCTTAGGGTACATCTGACAATGCCTGGAGGCATTTTTGTTGCAACTGAGTTGGGGGATGGGGCACGGGGTGTCTTGTGAGTAGAGGCCAGGGAGCTGCTCAGTATCCTACAGTGCACAGAACAGTCCTGCCACAACAAAGAATGATCCAGCCCCAAACATGAGCAGTGTCAAAGGTGGAGAAATCCCAGGTTAAACTCTGTGGCTTTTTCTTTCCTTATTTTCAGCGAGGTTGCACATCCGTTCTGTATTTGGGGGTATCATCATTTGATGCAATTATCTGGCTGGTTTTGGAGGAAAGAGGGAGGTGGCAAGCCAGAGCCAGCAGTCATCTGGTGCCAGGGCTAAAGAGCATCTCCTCCTCCCTTTCCTTGGTCTCAAAGGACCCTTGTCTTTGTTGCAATCCCTGTGCTGTGGGGTGTCACATCTGTTGACAGAAGTACCATTTATACAGAAGCCGCAGTGGGGTTGGTCCACAATGGGTTAACCACCACAGGGCCCTCTGCCCACCAGAGCTGTTTACTGTTCACCAAAGAGGCTGATTCTTAGGACTCTAAAGAAAAAAAAAGTGATAGTTCGTTTGAACCATTATTCTCTTCTGTGGGGGGAGGAGAATTGCTCCTGAAGGTTGAAGACTTAAGCTTTAGGAGGATTCTTCCACGAGTGACTTTTCTCTGGGACGTCTGATCAAGATCATTTGTCGGCTGTGATGCAGGGGCTTTTTCTAGATCTTGGGAGCGTCTGGTCACCGGGATGATCTGGGTGGTGTGTGTGTCTCTTGAATGGAGCTGCTCTGGGGTGAGGGACACCAGGAGTGTGAAACGCCTTGCAGCTACAGTTTCCTCCAAGTCAGGGATTTTCCACCATGGCACTTGCCAACATTTGGGGCTGGCTCATTCTTTGTGGTGGTGGGGCTGTCCTGTGCATTGTAAGATGTTTAGCAGCATTCCCGGCCTCTACCTACCAGACGCCAGTAGCACCCCCTCCCCAGATTGTGACAACCTAAACTATCCCCAGGGAGGCAAAATCACCTCTGAGAACCATAGCTCTAGATATAAATATGACTCAGAGCCAAAAGCTGTGTTTTTAAAAAGTATTTAATTCTGCAAGGAAGATCTGTCAATTGGAGGAAAACTGAGCAAATACAAATGATATATAAAAATTTCCCCGTCACTCACTGAGCCCTTACTATGTGCTAAGTACTCTATGTAGATTAGTTCATTCAATTGTCTGACAACATTTGAGGTAGAGTTTTGAAGAAAGAATCTCTGCTGGGATTTCAGAATATTTTCCTTCCAAACTCATTTACATCGGTCTTTTTGGGGAAAAAAAAGTATGGGCTGGTGCGGTGGCTCACGCCTGTAATCCCAGTACTTTGGGAGGCCAAGGTGGGCGGATCTCTTGAGGTCAGGAGTTTGAGACCAGCCTGGGCAACATGGCGAAACCCTGTCTCTACCAAAAGTACAGAAAATTAGCTGGGTGTTGAGGTGCACACCTGTAGTTCCAGCTACGCAGGAGGCTGAGGTGGGAGGATCACTTGAGCTTGGGACGCCTAAGTTGCAGTGAGCTGAGATTATGCCACTGTACTCCAGTTTGGGTGACACAGCAAGATCCTGTCTCAAAAAAAGAAAGAAAGAAAGAAAATCTACATAAAGCCTATTTCTTGCTCATTACTGGTTGACAGAGTGAGACCCTGTCTCAAATAAATAAATAAACAAATAAGTATAACCTGCTTTTTCTACCCAACAATATAGCATAACCATCTTTTCATGTCAGTCCTTTTCTGTCTTTCCTTTTCTTTCTTCCTTTTCCTTCCTTCCTTCCTCTTTCTTTCCTTCCTTTCCTTCTTTCTTTTCTTCCCTCCCTCCCCCTCCCTTCCTCCCTTCTTCCCTTCCTCTCTTCCTCCCTTCCTTCCTCTTTCTCTTTCCTTCCTTCCTTTCCTTTCTTTTCTTCCTTTCTTCCCTCCCTCCCTCTTTCTTTCTTCTCTGTTTTTCTTTCTTTCTGTCTTGCCATGTCACCCAGGCTGGAGTGGTGCAGTGATGTGAACTCCTGAGCTCAAGCAATCTTCCCACTTCAGCTTCCTGAGCAGCTAGAACTACAGGCATGTGCCACCATGCTTAGCTAATTTTTAAATTTTTGTTTTTGTAGAGATGGGGATCTTGTTATATTGCCCAGGCTGGAGTGCAGTGGCATGATCTCGGCTCATAGCAACCTCCACCTCCTGGGTTCAAGTGATCCTCATGCCTCGGCCTCCCAAGTAGCTGGGATTACAGGCACATGACTCTATGCCCAGCTAATTTCTGTATTTTTAGTAGAGATGGGGTTTTACCATTTCGGCCAGGCTGTTCTTGAACTCCTGACCTCAAGTGATCTGTCCGCCTCAGCCTCCCAAAGGGCTGGGATTACAGGTGTGAGCCACTGCACCTGGCCGATTGTATCATCTCAATGTGGTATAATTTATTAAACCAAGCCCCTACTGTTGGACATTCACATTGCTTCTTATGTCGGGCTCTGGTAGACAGTGCTGCAGTGAACATCCTTATATTCAATTATTTGTGCACTCCTTTGGTTATTTCTCATTTTTAGAAGTGAAACTGCTGAGTTGAAGAGTGCTTTAACCTGTTAGAGCAGCCACATTTCTTAAACCTTTGTTAGGTGTGGTTTGTGACAGCATTAGTTGGGCTTGCTTCAGTGGGCGCTGGCTGCGGGCCAGCCTCTTGCCTGCCTGATTTAGCGCATCCATATCTTGGGCCTGCCCTTCCTCCTTATCTCCAATTGGAATCTCCCAGTTGTACAGGTTTTACTACATCCACTTAGAGGCCAGCCCTTTGTTTATCTTCTCTCTCTACCTTGACCCAGTAATCAGATCTTTCCTGACTGATCAGTTTGCAAGACTGACTTCTGGGAGGTCTCCTTTCTCATTTTGAAGGTCAATTTTGTGGCTGTTCTAAAGCATTAACAATGGGAGGGCAGGGGCATGGAGACTTAGGTATCATCTAGTTCTTGACATTCCCTGTCTAGAAGCCTCTGTGGTTCCCTTTCATCCCAGCTTGAAACCTGTGCTTTAGCCTTTGTGAATGGTTTGTAGCCCCACACATGGCAGTATTGTCATACTCTTGCCTCCAGAGCTTCCCCACATCAGCCCCTCTGCCTGCTGGACCACTCTACTCTTCAGCCCACCTCCCTCCTTTTGCCTGTTTGGGTTCTACTTATCCTTAAGGAGTTACCTTATCCAGAATGTCTCTCCTAACTCTCTTAGACTCCCATGGACCCTATCATATTCTGTGACTCTGAGTTATTTCAATGTGTAACACTCGGTGCTAGTACTTTTCGCTGAATGACTGCTTTTCATTCCATTCTCATTCTTCTGGGTTCTTGTTGAAGATGCTGGGCCCTTCTCTCTCTTTCCAAATTAAAATAGATGAGTAGGCCAGGCATGGTGGCTCACTCCTGTAATCCCAACACTTTGGGAGGCTGAGGCGGGCAGATCACCTGAGGTCAGGAGTTGGAAACCAGCCTGACCAACATGGAGAAACTCCGTCTCTACTAAAAATACAAAAAAAATTGGTCGGGCATGTTAGCATTCTCCTGTAATCCCAACTACTCGGGAGGCTGAGGCAGAAGAATCCCTTGAACCTGGGAGGCGGAGGTTGCAGTGAGCTGAGATTGCACCACTGTACTTCAGCCTGGGCAGCAGAGTGAGACTCCGTCTCAAAATAAATCAACTAAACTAAACTAAAATAAGATACATGACTAAATTAAAATACATAACCCCCTCATAGCCTGTACTTGTGGCAGACATCATTAATCAATCATGATGCTGTTTTCCCCTTTGAGCCTAAACACAGCCTCGGCATCTTTATTAACACAGCCACTCCAGGTCAGTTAGAGTGCTGCATGAGATGATACCTATTTGCTCTCACTGTTTAGGGAGAGTCTAGAGATGGAAGAGCTGAAGGTAATGATTCTTCATTACCTCTCGGTTCTTGAGATCCAAATTCTGGGGTTGATTTTTCTTCATGCCTCTTACCTTAATTAAATGGATGTCTGTGGAATGTGGCCTTCTAGGTATCCGGCACGCATTAAATAGTCCTAGAGTGAACCCAGAAAGAGTGGTTTTCCATCACTTTTGGTTCAGTGCTTGTTCCATTTTGGGGGAGGGTGGCAGTGGCAGCCTAGAATCAGAGATTTATCTTGTTTTACAGCCAAAGAAACCGAGGCCAGAGAGGTTAGGTGACTTGCTCAGGGTCACACAGCCAGTGAGTGACCAGTAAAGCCAGACTAGAACTTGGGCCTCTGGACACCTTATGCACCAGACTAGAACTCAGTCCTCTGGACTCCTTATGTGGTGCTCTTGCTGTCATGCCTGCTGTCCTGGCTTTCTCTCTGGCAAAGGAGAAGACCCCCAGTGGAGCCAGCCTGGTTGGGTACTTGAGGAATTCCAGTGGTTCTGCTGGCACCATGGTGACTTGTCCACATGACAAGTGGTGTGGGTGCCACAGACCAGACATGCAGGTTTGCTCTGAGGTGTGTAACTCATAAACAGCCCGCCAAGCTGGTCCATAACTCCTGTTTATTTGAATGTAAATTAGAAAATGACTGGAGTGTTGAAATCGTCTTGTGGGAAAAGCCCCAAACAAGTTGGCTGGTTGTGTGTGTGTGTGTGTGTGTGTTTTGTTTAAGAGACAAGGTCTTGCTTCATCGCCCAGACTGGCATGCAGTGGGGTGATCACAGCTCACTGCAGCCTCCAGCTCCTGGGCTCAAGTGATCCTCCTGCCTCAGCCTCATAAGTAGTTGGGATTATAGGCGTGTGCCACGGCGCTCAACTCTTGCTTTTTTTTTTTTTTTTTTTTTTTGAGACAGAGTCTTGCTCTATTGCCCAGGCTGGAGTGCAGTGGCACGATCTCGGCTCACTGCAACCTCTGCGTCCTGGGTTCAAGTGATTCTCCTGGCTCAGCCTCCCCAGTAGCTGGGATTACAGATGTGCACCACCATGCCCGGCTAATTTTTTGTATTTTCACTAGAGACAGGGTTTCACCATGCTGGCTAGGCTGGTCTTGAACTCCTGACCTCATGATCCACCCACGTCAGCCTCCCAAAGTGCTGGGATTACAGGCGTGAGCTACCGCGCCCAGCCTCAGCTCTGGCTTTTCCTTCATCTGGGACATCAGGCTAACTGGGAACCAGCCCCACCTGTACCCCTTGATCTGTGAGTTAGAAGCTCCCCCACTGCAACAAGCATCCTCTGAGATTTGGGACCACCTACCACAGCCTTACAATATTTTCTGCTTTTTTTTTTTTAAATTTAAAGTTAATGCTAATACCTGTTTATTTTTGGTTTTGTATAGAACAGGGGTGTACAATTTTTTGGATTCCCAGGGCCACACTGGAAGAATTGTCTTGGGCCACACATGAAATACACTAACGCTAATGATAGCTGAGGAGCTAAAAACCAAAACAAAACAAAACAAAACTCAAATCTCATAATGTTTTAAGAAAGTTTATGAATTTGTATTGGGCCACATTCAAAGCGGTCCTGGGCCACATGCAGCCTGCGGTCTGCGGGTTGGACAAGGTTGGTGAAGAATATCCCAAGAAAGACAAGAAACTGTATTAACCCTCCTAATATAGCAGGTGAGTTATCATTTTGATTGACTGTTGAGAGCTGGATTCTAGTGGAATGTGATTTAGATTGTGTGCCTGGGAGGGACCCTGAGAAGATGAAACAAATAATGTCTTGTTGGAGGAAGAAGCCAGAGAGACACTTTCTGCAATGGCTGTACAATTTTGAAACTGCTGGCAGACTTCGGAGATGCATTTGCAAGTAGTAAGTGAGGCTTTTTTAGCCTTCAGGAACACCTGCTGTGTGCTGGTGCCGTGCTGGTGGGTCCCACTCTTGATCCCACCTGGCCAGAGAACAATCTGGAAGGAGGGCTATGGAGGGCCCTATTGTGTTTTTCTGTCCATGTGTGTAACAGCCCATGAGTCGGCTGTTTTTGAGGCTCAGAGGGGAGAAGTCACTTTGAGTCTGATTCTCTTCCTCTGACATCCATGCCCTGAACACCGTGGACAGATGAGTGGAAGGAAACACGGAGACTGGCATCCATCTGAGCCAGCCTGAGCTTGAGAGGCCCCGAGGTGGCTTCTTTTTGGCAGCTCCGTTTCCCAACAGCTGTGTGGCAAAAGGCCCACTTCCTAAAGGTCTAGGGCCATCCATCCTACCTTTGGAAAGATGTGGTGAGTCCAGGCAGGAGCACCAAAATCAATGCCTGACTTGGTGAATGACTGCCAGGGCACAGAGCCAGCTGCATGGCTGCTTAAGTCTGACAATTGCTCCAGCAGCCTCCTTTATAATGTCCAAAGGCCAGAGTACATACAGACCAGTGGCACCCGCCCACCCGGTCCTGGGATGGTGGTGATTAGATCTTTGTGTTCAGAAAAATCTGGCCCTTGAGGTCAGAGCCTGAGGTTTGGCCTCTCTGCTGCCAGAAGGACGAGGATTGAGTAGGAGGGGAGAGACTACAGTTGCTTGCTAACTCATCTTGCCCCTCCTCTGCTGCACAGGGATGCTTGGAGGGACAGCCCTCCACTGTGAATCCCTTGGGGCAGAAGTCAGGCCCTCCCAGGACCCACCAATGGGCTTCTGCAGCATGGGCGCCCAGCCTATATCCACGTGAAAAGGAATGGGAGGAATTCATGACAAAGGGCTTTATAAAATATAACGTATGACCGTGATCATAACTAGCATCATCTCTATTTTGAGTGGCTCCCAGGATATGCCATTGAATTAGGCAGTAACTCATTTCTAATCCTCATGATGAACTTAGGAGGAATTTGGCACCATTTTCCAGAAGAGGAAACCAATGTGCAGGGAGGTGAAGCGATTTGATCAGGTCATGAAGGTAGGAAGTGGTCCACAGGACTTTACAGCAGGTCTAGCCCTGTAACAGGGGAGACCAACACCACATCAGGAAACAGGAAGACGTTGGAAGTCGTCTCTAGGGCAGAAATGTCCCTTGTAGGGGAGGAGGGGAAATGATAGGAAGTTCCCGGCTGGCATGACAATGTGATTATTTCAATGAGCTTCTTAGAATGGAAATATTGGGGCCGGGCGCAGTGGCTCATGCCTGTAATCCCAACACTTTGGGGGGCCGAAGCGGGTAGATCACGAGGTCAGGAGTTTGAGACCAGCCTGGCCAACATGGTAAAACCCTGTCTCTACTAAAAATACAAAAAAAAATTGGCCAGGTGTGGTGGCGCAATCCTGTAATCCCAGCTACTCTGAAGGCTGAGGCAGGAGAATCGCTTGACCCAGGAGGCGGAGGTTACAGTGAGTCGAGATCACGCCACTACTCCAGCCTGGGACAGAGCGAGAGTCCGTCTCAGAAAAAAAAAAAAAAAAAAAAAAGAATGGAAATGTTGGGTCCTAGTCTTAGGTTTCATTGTTTCAGTAAAAACCTGCCAGAGTGAATGTTAACTCCTTTTATTACGTACTTACAGTGGTACTTATATGGAGGCCTTTTTTGTGGTTCTTGCTAGAGTGTTAACTGTATCTGAGCTTTTCAAAGTCATTGCAGTGGATCAGCCCTCTCCAGGGTCTTCTAGAAGCCTCTGCTTTCCACCCTGGCAGTTAGGCAGTCGACTCACACTTCCCCTGTGTTCAGAAATGATTCATTTTCTGCCTTGCTGTTCCTCCAAGTTCCTTACTTCACTCCCTTCTGAGATCTCTGTCTTAATGGTCTGGAATACATTTGAAGTCATTATTTTATGATGGGGAGATTTCTGCTAATTTTACCCCTAACAATCAATCAATGAGTCAATAATTCTTTTTCTCCCTCCTCCCTTCCTTCCTCTCCTTCTGCTTTGATTTCTTAATCATTGGAATAATTGTTTTCTGGATTTCCTCTCTAAAGAAAAGCTTTGTCTGTTGGGAAAGGTGATGATGATATAATTTATAATAATAAGCATAAATGATAATACCTTCTTTTTATTTTATTTTATTTTATTTTATTTTATTTTTGAGACAGAGTCTTGCTCTGTCACCAAGGCTGGAGTGCAGTGGCATGATCTCGGCTCACTGCAACCTCCACCCTCCCCCTAGGTTCAAGCAATTATCTTACCTCAGCCTCCCAAGTAGCTGGAATTATAGGCACACACCACCACACCCAGTTAATTTTTGTATTTTTAGTAGAGATGGGGTTTCACCATGTTGGCCAGGCTGGTCTTGAACTCCTGACCTCAGGTGATTTGTCCGCTACAGCCTCCCAAAGTGCTGGGATTACAGGCCTGAGCCATGGTGCCCAGCCTAATACCTTCTTTTTCACTGAGCACTTACTAGGTACCAGAAACTGTGCTTAGGCCTTTATTTATACAACTTTATTTAAGCCTCACAGCAACCCTTTGAAGAAGGGTCCATTATGAGCCTCATTTTAAAAATGAGGAAACTTGCCGAGTGCGGTGGCTCATGCCTGTAACCCCAGCACTTTGGGAGGCCCAGGCAGGCAGATCTCTTGAGGTCAGAAGTTCGAGATATGGTGAAACCTTGTCTCTTTTAAAAATACAAAAATTAGCCAGGCATGGTGGCACAAGCTACTCAGGAGGCTGAGGCAGGAGAATGGTGCGAACCTGGGAGGTGGAGGTTGCAGTGAGCCGAGATCGCGCCACTGCACTCCAGCCTGGGCAACAGAGTGAGAGTCTCAAAATAATGATAATAGTTTTCCCAGTTGAGTGTGGTGGCTCACACCTGTAATCCCAGCACTTTGGGAGGCCGAGGCAGGCGGATCACAAGGTCAGGAGATCAAGACCATCCTGGCCAACATGGTGAAACCCTGTCTCTACTAAAATACAAAAAAACAAAAAAAAAAAAATTAGCTGGGTGTGGTGGTGCTTGCCTATAGTCTCAGATACTCGGGAGGCTGAGGCTGGGGAATCGCTTGAACCTGGAAGTTGGAGATTGCAGTGAGCCGAGATCAGGCCACTGCACTCCAGCCTGGCGACAGAGTGAGACTCCGTCTCAAAAAAAAAAAAAAAAAAGAATTTTCCCAACTGCATCATTCTTAGTTCAAGACTGTTTTTTCCTGAACCGGGAGCAATTATAGGACAAATAGTTGGCATGTCATGAGGGTGAAGTTTTTCTTTTTTTCTTTCTCTTTCTTTCTTTCTTTCTTTCTTTTTTTTTTTTTTTTTGAGGTAGAGCCTTACTCTGTCGCCCAGGCTGGATTGCAGTGGCGCAATCAATCTTGGCTCACTGCAACCTCCCCATCCTGGGTTCAAGTGATTCTCCTGCCTCAGCCTCCTGAGAAACTTGGATTACAGACGTGCACCACCATGCCCGACTCATTTTTGTATTTTTAGTAGAAACGGGTTCACACTATGTTGGCCAGGCTAATTTTGAACTCCTGGCCTCAAGTGATCCACCCGCCTTGGCCTCCCAAAGTGCTGGGATTACAGGAGTAAGCCACTGTGCCTGGCCCGGGGGTGAAGTTTTTAAAGAAGTATTTTGAATTGTTTTGTAAACATTCTTTCCTCTTTAGGTAGTAGACTCAGAGCAGGAACCTGTTTTAGAAATGTAGGTAATCTCAAGGCTCGTATCCTTAAAAATAGGCCTTATAGTAAGCAGAGCCATGACAACCCGCACCCCCAGATTAATAAATGATTCATCTCCATCAGCTGTAATTTGAGTGTCTTCCATTATGATCCTTGTAACCCAAGACCTATAAAGTTAATCTGCCTCATGTGTTTAACAACTGAACTTTATTATCCAGCTATGAAAAAAACCATTGAATTTGCAATAGAACCTCCCCACACCAGGCTTGTAGCATCACGACACGGGCATCCTGTTCTTCCTTTCTGGAAATGACTGTTTATGAATTGGGTTAGGTGTGTTCTGTCCTGAATCACACAGGCTGAAAGTGAAGCAAGCTGTGCATCTTTAAGAGTCCTTTTTTTTCCCTGAACATTGTTCTTGAGATGAAACGAGAGGGTAGGCCAGGGCAGGGCAATTTGGTCACCTTGTTACTCAATGTCAGGAACATCCCATGTTGTAAGAGATGGCTGTTTGAAGAGGCAGGCATGGAGGGGCAGCTTGGATGGCAACTTCCAGGTATATGCTGTGGTCTTGCTAAGAGCATAACGACCAGTACTGTCCAACTCTCTTGAGGCCAGAAAAAGAGGAAATGAGGTCGGGTACAGTGGCTCCTGCCTGTAATTCCAGTGCTTTGGGAGGCCAAGGCGGGAGGATCACTTGTGGCTAGGAGTTCAAGACCAGCCTGGGCAACAAAGTGAGTCCCCATCTCTACAAAAAATTAAAAACAAAAAATTAGCTGGTCGTAGTGACATGTGTCTGTAGTCTCAGCTACTCCAGAGACTGAGGCTGGAGGATCACTTGAGCCTCGGAGGTCAAAGCTGCAGTGAGGCCAGGCGCGGTGGCTCACGCCTGTAATCCCAGCACTTTGGGAGGCCAAAGCGGGTGGATCACGAGGTCAGGAGATCGCGACCATCCTGGCTAACACGGTGAAACCCTGTCTCTACTAAAAATACAAAAAATTAGCCAGGCGTGGTGGCGGGCACCTGTAGTCCCAGCTACTCAGGAAGCTGAGGCAGGAGAATGGCGTGAACCCAGAAGGCGGAGCTTGCAGTGAGCTGAGATCGTGTCAGTGCACTCCAGCCTGGGCGACAGAGCGAGACTCCGTCTCAAAAAAAAAAAAAAAAAGAGAAAAGAAAAAGCTGCAGTGAGCTGTGATTGTGCCACTATACCCCATCCTTGGTGATACAATGAGACCCCATCTCAAAAGAAAAAAGAGAAATTAGTGTGATTCTGTGTAGCATATGGTCACTGCTGGCTTACAGGGAATTCTGCTTTCTGGGCAATGTCACCCATCTGAACTGTGGCAGAGATCCAGGCAGGAGGCCCCAGATAGCCCTTGTCTAGTCAGAATTGTCCCAGAGGCCATGCATGAAACCCCTCATTGGTGCATACCTTCTCTTTGCAGGAGATTCTGATTCTGGTGGCTATTTGGTATTTAAGTATCTATAAGAATTTGGCTGGGCACGGTAGCTCACGCCTGTAATTCCAGCACTTTGGGAAGCCGAGGTGGGTGGATCGCTTGAGCTCAGGAGTTTGAGACCACCCTGGGCAACATGGTGAAACCCTGTCTCTACTAAAATACAAAAAATTGGCCTGGCATGGTGGCGTGCGCCTGTAGTCCCAGCTACTCGGGAGGCTGAGGCACGAGAATTGCTTAAGCTCGGGAGGCGGAGGTTGCAGTGAGCCGAGATTGCTCCACTGCACTCCGGCTTGGGCTATAGAGTGAGACTCTGTCTCAAAAAAAAAAGAATAATAAATAATTGAAGCACTGCAGGAAGAAGTAGCTGTCAACCATCAACAGGAGTTTTAAAAAAATACACAAAGTTGGCCAGGTACAGTGGCTCATGCCTGTAATCCTAGCACTTTGGGAGGCCGAGGCTAGAGGATTGCTTGAGCCCAGGAGTTCAAGACCAGCCTGGGCAATGGTATAGTGAGTCCCAGTCTCTACAAAAGGTAAAAAAAAAAAAAAAAAAAAAATTAGCCCAGCATGGTGGTGCACATCTGTAGTCCCAACTACTCTGGAGGCTGAGGTGGGAGGATTGCTTGAGACCAGGAGTTCCAGACTACAATGAGCCATGATTGTGCCACTGCATTCCAGCCTGGGCAACACAGTGATACCCTGTCTCAAAAAAAAAAAAAAAAAAGATACACAAAGCTGTCTAGTTGTCCTAAAAGCCTAAAGGCACACCATCCAGAGTCATTTAGTGACGGTTTGAGGGGACCAGTGACATTTCTGGGCTACATCTTTATCATAACTCGTATTTTTGATGATGGCCCTGTTCAGAAAGCTACGAATGGCTTCCACTATGAAAGCAGTGACATTTGTGTTACATTTTGATGAGTTCCATCCAGGATGGCTGAACTAGAATGCTGATGGTATATTCATATTTGAGAGCCAGGCACAGTGGTGCACACCTGTAGTCCCAGGTACTCAGGAAGCTGAGGCAGGAAGATCACTTGAGCCCAAGAGTTCTTGGCTGTAGTGTGCTACACTGATTGGGTGTCTGCACTAAGTTTGGCATCAATATGGTGACCTCCTGGCAAAGAGGACCACCAGGTTGCTTAAAGAGGTGTGAACTGGCCCAGGTCAGAAACAGCAGGTCAAAATTCCCATGCTAATCAGTAGAGGGATTGCACCTGTGAATGGCCACTGCACTCCAGCCTGCGCAATATAGCAAGACTCTTTTTTTAAAAAATGGTAGATGGAAAATATTTCACTTTTTTTTTGTTATTATTGAGATTAAGCATCTTTTCATTTCTATTGTGAATTGCCCATTGTTCTGTAGGGCTGTTGTTTTATTCTTACTGATTTGTAAGAGCTGTTTACATATTAGGGATATTAGCCTTTTTTCTGTTATCCTTGTTACACAGACTCTCTACTCTCTGCCCCCCTAGTTGTTTGGCTTTGGTTGGTGGTGGGATTTCTCGTCTCCCCCATATAGGAGGTTTCTGTTTTTTATAATTAGATTTATTGGTTTCTTTCCTTGTGCCTTCTGAGTTGAGTAGCGTGCATTGGAAAAAGCCTTCTCCATTAAACAGAAGGGGCCGTTTGCCAGCTGTTCCAGATAACCAAGGCTTTACTGTATTTGGAATCTGCTCACTCTAGTTGGGTCTGTGAAAGAAGATGGTGGGACCACATCTGATTTTTCTTTTTTTAAAGACAGCTTCAGGCCAGGCATGGCGGCTCACGCCTGTAATCCCAGCACTTTGAGGGGGCCAAGGCTGGCAGATCACTTGAGCCCAGGAGTTGGAGACTGGCCTGGGCAAAATAGTAAGACCCCGTCTCTATTTTTTTTTTTTTTCAAACAGAATCTCACGCGCAATCTCAACTCACTGTAACCTCCGCCTCCCAGGTTCAAGTGATTCTCTTGCCTCACCCTCCCAAGTAGCTGGGATTACAGATGTGCACCATTATGCCCAGCTAATTTTTGTATTTTTAGTACAGATGGGGGTTTCACCATGTTGGTCAGGCTGGTCTTGAACTCCGGATCTCAGGTGATCCGCCCGCCTCGGCCTCCCAAAGTGTTGGGATTACAGGCGTGAGCCACCATGCTCGGCCTGACCCTGTCTCTATTAAAAAATAAGAAGAAGAAGAATAAATAAAAAATGTTTAAAAGACAGCTTCCTTTCTCCCTGAAGGTCATGAACTAGAAAACCCTCCAAGTCCCTTCCCTCCCTCCAGGCAGACAGGTTCTGGGTGGCATTTCAAAGAGGCTGTTTGCTGACAACAATTGAAAAAAACAAGTTTGGAGTAACTGCAAAACTGGTCAAACAAGAAGGGTAATTTGGGGTTAAGGCTGCATTCTGTAGGAAAGGGAAGGCTTGAGAGCCTGGTAGAAACATGTCATGCTGTATTCAGAGCAGGCACAGGCTTGAATTTAAACTCTTAGAGGCTGGGTGCGGTGGCACACGCCTGTAATCCCAGCTTCTGGGGAGCTGAGGCAGGAGAATCACTTGAACCCGGGAGGTGGAGGTTGCAGTGAGCCTAGATTGCGCCACTGCACTCCAGCCTGGGCAACGGAGTGAGACTCTGCCTCAAAAAATAAAATAAAATAAAATAAGTAAATAAATAAAATAAACTATTAGAAAAGCCACCACATGCTTGGGAATTAAAATCGTCTTCTGGTTTCCTATTTTCTCTGAGTTCACAGGACCTCAAAGAAACATTCTTTGAGTTCAAAGAATGGTAACATTCTAGACAGAAAGGTTAAGGGTGTAGTGGAAGCAGCTTTGGCTCTGGAATTGTGTCTGAGTTCCTGGCACTCCCTGGAGTGTAACCTGGGCAAGTCATTTGGCTTTTCTGTGACTTGATGTCCTTGGACTGCACCAAAGGCAAACATAAGCCCAGAGCCTTGGGTGGGTGATGTTGAAACAGGCTTCAGCCCAACCATATACAGAGCACTTCCTGTTTGCATAGCACCTCTGGGCTGTAGAAACCGAAGGGCCTGAACCTGGAGTGGTTAAGTCACTTGGCCAAACTCACACCAGAGCTGAGATTCAAACCCAGGACTGTGGATGCCACTGCTTCAGTGCCACTGCCCAGGTTGACGCCACTGCTAATTGCAGGCAGCCCACCTCCAGATGCTTCCAAACCCACTTCAGCGTGCTTGTTTATGTAACACAGAGATGCATACAGAGCTGCCTTTCCTGCTGGTGGCTCCCTGTGGGTAGAGCATGGAAGTAGTCTGGGGTCTTGTTCCCAGCCCCTGCCTCGCCTCCCCTCTCTTCTGCTAGGCTCCCAGCCCCAGAAGTGCATTTGAGGCCCCACATTCCTCCCCTACTGTTGAGCGGGAGCTCTGGCCCTGTGTGGTGGCCCCACACACAATAACAGCTGCTGTTGGGGCCCAGCTTCTGCTGACCATGGTGGCCTCGTGACCCTCGTAGCTCATGGTTAGGAGAACACAAAACAAAAAGCCTTTCTCCCTGCCACCAGGGCAGGGCTGCTCAGAACTGCACAAGGATGCTGCATAACATTTTTCTGCATCTCTGAAATGCATGTTGAATGACCGGAGTCATTAAGAAAAGCTAATAAGCCACCCATGGTCGATGGTGATCTGTCATCAGGCCCTGCCGTCATCTCTTCTTCACTGGAAGGCTTTGGTTGAAAACCAGCCAGTGGCAGTAAAAACAATCGTGGTCAGTGCTTTGAGCCCTCACTTTGCACGTGTGACACCTCTCTCTCACAGCAGCCCTGCAGAAGAACATCCTAGAAGGATATCCGTTTTATAAACAGGGGAACTGAGGCCCAAAGTCCCTTCACATATCCTCTGTCATCTGGGTTGGATAGGTGTTTAAAACCAGTGTGTTGGGTCAGTCTGAACCATAGGAGGGTACAGAGATGGAGAGCCTGGCAGGGAAATACGCTGACAGATTCCACGTTTCCCACAGTCCATTCATTCACTCATTCATTCATTCCACAGATGTCATACAAGTACCAACTGGGGTCAGGCATCTGCTGGGTGCTGGGGGCATAGCAGGGAACCTTGTCCCTGCCCTCTTCAGAGCTCAAGTCTGGTGGCAAGATTGTTGGTTTAAAAAACAAAGGTGTAACACATGTGACTATGATCACTGTAACAGTAAAACAGACTTGAAAGAAAAAGTAGAAAAAGAAATAGGATTTTATGAGCAGAAAAAAAACCTGACATTACTTTTTTCAGTATTTTCTATGAGAAAATTCAAACATGTGGCGAAGCTGAAAGAATTTTACAGCAAATAGTACTCATACACCTATCATCTAGATGTTACCATTAATATTTTACTGTGCCTATCTATCCATATCTCTGTCCATCCATCCATCAGTCTAATGTAAGCCTTTGGACATTATGCATTTTTATTTTTTATTTATTTTTTTGAGATGGAATTTCACTCTTGTTGCCCAGGCTGGAGTGCAGTGGCGCAGTCTCGGCTCACTGCAACCTCTGCCTCCTGGGTTCAAGTGATTCTCCTGGCTCAGCCTCCCCAGTAGCTGGGATTACAGACATGCACCACCACACCTGGCTAATTTTTGTATTTTTATTAGAGATGGGGTTTCACCAAGTTGGTCAGGCTGGTCTTGAACTCCTGACCTCAGGTGATCCACCCGCCTCGGCCTTCCAAAGTGCTGGGATTATAGGCGTGAGCCACTGCGCCTGGCCCACATTTTAATTTTTTTTTAGAGATGGAGTCTCACTCTGTTGCGCAGGCTGGAGTGCAGTGACACAATCATAGCTCATTGCAGCCTTGAACTCCTGGGCTTGAACGATCCTCCCACCTCTGCCTCCTGAGTAGCTGGGACTACAGTTACATGCCACCACGTCCAGCTCATTATACATTTTGGGAAGATGAGGATGTAAAGCCGTCAGCTGGAGCTGAGGAACAGCCATACGTCTGCATGGGTTTTGCCAGTCCCCATGTAGCCCATCCATGGCACCTGCCTGGCCCCCTGTGAGGGTTGGAATTTGCACCCCCTGGCAGCACTGTAGTCACTGGCAGAGGAAAGAGGATCTTGGCTCCGGCGTTATTATGTAAGTTGAGAATGCACGGTCCTTTCAGAGAGGCAGCAGTAGCAGTGCTGGAAGAGAATACCTTCCAGGGCTAACAAGTGGCATGACCTCCCCAGGCTGGCCTCTACACGCAGCGGAGGTCAGTGATCCATCAGGTGAGGTTAAAGGGTGGCATGGAGTCGTCACCCCATTGATGCTTGGCAGGCCTGTCTGGGAGACCAGAGCACCCTGGATTCTTTGCCCGCACCCCTGGCGCAGCACCTCTGAGCAGCCTCTGACGTGACCACCCTAGGGAAGGCTCCAGCATGGCCCCTTGCTGGGAGATTTGCCTCTGCAGACGTTGGAAAGAGGCTCAGTTGCCGAGAGGAGACTGCTCGTGGCCTAGCATGACGACAGCATGCCCGGAGCTTGCAGCAGGTCAAGGTGGCAGCCCCAGCCCTAGCGGGGCCTCACAGGGGAGCACAGAGAAAGCAGCAGGGGCACAGGTCAAGGATGAGTCCCACTCGATGGAGGTTCTGGGGAATCCTGTGGCTTCCACGATGATGTCATTTGCTGGGTCACAGCACATGACCCTAGTAATGATATGAGGTCATAAAAATGATTGAAGTTCAGGTACTGAGTGTTCACCACTCACCGGGCACTCTGCTACATGTGTTTGGTGCCTTATTTTTTTTTGAGGTGGAGTCTTGCTCTGTCGCCAGGCTGGAGTGCAGTGGCACAATCTCGGCTCATTGCAACCTCTGCCTCCCAGGTTCAGGCGATTTTCCTGTCTCAGCCTCCTGGGTAGCTGGAACTACAGGCACCTGCTACCACGCCCGGCTAATTTTTGTATTTTTAGTAGAGATAAGGTTTCACCATGTTGGCCAGGCTGGTCTCAAACTCCTGACCTTGTGATCCGCCCGCCTTGGCCTCCCAAAGTGCTGGGATTACAGGCGTGAGCTACTGCGCCTGGCCTCGGTGCCTTATTTTTAATTTCTTAAAGAAGCATATGAAATAAGTACTACTATTGCCCCATTTGACACAAGAGGAAACTGAGGCACACAGCGGCGAGGAGACTTGCTTGGCTGGGGAGTGGTCGTGCAGGATTCTCACCCTGTCTGGCTGAATCCCTAGCCCACCTTCTTTCCATTGGGCTATGGGCTGTTTCCTTAAATGTTTAATGCTGTTTCTCTCATGCACCTCTTTTCATAGCTGCAATTAGAATGTTCCAGATGGCTGGCCAGGTGTGCAGGGTCACCCTGGGTGGAATTTGGCTTAAGGAAGTTCCACCCCTAGCCTTCTGCCCTCATGCGGTCACTTGGTGCCCACACTGAGGTCCCTGTCTGGCCTCCTGGGTATTGGCCTTTCACTCCCGTGGGATTGGCACCCACCTCTAGCCTGCTCTGGGGTCTTTGTCCCCTGGGCTCTGTAGCAGGCTTAGTGAGCTCACTTTTCTGGACCGCAACAAGGACAATGAAAAGGTGTCATGGAAGCCCGGTAATCTGTCTTCAGGCTCAAAGGTAAAGTCCACATCTAGCCTGCTCAGTAAAGAACCTGCATACTTCCTGCATGTAAGGGGCAAGATGTCCTGTGACAGCCTGCCATGGGGGTGACAAAAGAGGGAGAGGAGGAGAGGCAGGCAGCAGGCTGCTCACATTTCAGCAGATCCCAGCAGTCCTAGGCACTGCCAGGCAGTTTCCAGGTCTACATTTTATCATCTCCAAGGTGTTACCTATTATATGATGCTCCGACATATTATAACCCACCAAGAAAGGAAAACGCCTCCATTTAAGAACATTCTACTGGGTGTGATGGTGTATCCCTCTAATCCCAGCACTTTGGGAGGCTGAGGCGGGAGGATCGCTTGAGTCCAGGAGTTGAAGCCTGCAGTGAGCTGTGATCTTGCCACTGTACTCCAGCTTGAGTGCCAGAACAAGACCCTGCCTTTATTTTATGCATTTATTTATTTTTATTTATCTTTCTTCAGTTGCCAAAGGACCCTGTCTTTAAAAACACACATAGGTGCATGCTACTATTGAAGACAATGGCGAGAACAAATTAAGAGGGCAGGAGTCCAGGAGTGTATTTCATATAGCCAGCTGAAAACACTTTAAGGCTACCAACAAAGCAAAACCAGTTACCACTAGTCTTAAGAAGATAAACGAGGCTGGGCACAGTGGCTCACGCCTGTAATCCCAGCACTTTGGGAGGCTGAGGCGGGCGGATCACCTGAGGTTGGGAGTTTGAGACCAGGCTGACCAACATGGTGAAACCCCATCTCTACTAAAAATACAAAATTAGCTGGGCATGGTGGCGTGTGCCTGTAATCTCAGCTACTCGGGAGGCTGAGGCAGGAGAATCGCTTGAACCTGGGAGGCGGAGGTTGCGGTGAGCTGAGATTGCACCATTGCACTCCAGCTTGGGCAAGGGGAGCAAAAAGTCTCGGGGAAAAAAAAGTTAAACGTTATGAATGATGAAAAAGTCAACAGAGTAGATAAAGCTTTTGTATTCAAAAACTGCAATTACTTTTGCACCAATCTAATAAATATACGAGATTTGCACACTTCTTAAAAGG
Source organism: Homo sapiens (assembly GCF_000001405.40). Classification (NCBI taxonomy): domain Eukaryota; kingdom Metazoa; phylum Chordata; class Mammalia; order Primates; family Hominidae; genus Homo; species Homo sapiens. The sequence goes on along the minus strand of NC_000012.12, from coordinate 109,859,867 downwards.
ACTTTCTCTTGAACCTCTGTAGAAAGAACTGATTCCTCAGCAGCATCATGAAAATAAAGTAGTTAATATTGATGAAGCTACAAAATTAATGGCTCAGTTCTAATATAGTGGTGATGCATCAAATTCCCCCAAAGACCAATAAATCAAATGTTTTATACAATTAAAAAAAAACACATTGTACAGCTCTAGAAAAAAATTCTTTATATCCTTATTCTATGAGCTTTTTTCTATTATAAAAGTTAAGTACTTTTTTTTAAAAAAAATCTTTTTTGTTAAAAACAGACACATTAGCTTAGGTCTACACAAGATCCTGATCATCAAGATCTGTGCAAAAAAAAAATTATTTTTTGAGACAGAGTCTCGCTCTGTTTCCCAGGCTGGAGTGTAGTGGCGTGATCTCCCCTCACTACAACCTCCACCTCCCGGGTTCAAGCAATTTTCCTGCCTCAGCCTCCTGAGTAGCTGGGATTACAGGCGCAAGCCACCACGCCCAGCTAATTTTTGTATATTAGTAGAGACAAGGTTTCACCATGTTGACCAGGCTGGTCTTGAACTCCTGACTTCAAGTGATCCACCCGCCTCGGCCTCCCAAAGTGCTGGGATTACAGGCGTGAGCCACTGCACCAGGCCAAAAATTTTTTTTTAATTAGCCGGGTATGATGGTGCGTGCCTGTATTCCCAGCTACTCCAGAGGCTGAGGTGGGAGGATGGCTTGAACCCAGGAGGTCGAGGCTGTGGTCAGCTATTATCACACCACTGTGCTCCAGCCTGAGTGACAGAGCGAGACCCTGTCTCAAGATAAACCTCAAAGAACAAACAAATACCATTCTGATTCTAGAGATGAATCAAATGTGTGTCTTAGGATTGGATTGTTTATTTCAAGCCATCTTCATCATGCCTCTGTGGTTGGTGCTGTAGCCTCATTTGCCAGATAGGAAACAGGAAGCTGAGAGAACAGAGCTGGGGGCTGCACCCAAGCCCATGCTGCCTTAGTAACATCCAGAACAACTCAGCTCTCCCCGGGACACACCATGTAATCCACCCTTCCATGTCCCCATGGCCTGCGGTGGCCCTGAAAAATCACTCTTGCTGCGAATCTCAATCTGTCTTCTCATTTTGTCCCCAGATTGCCTTGGGTCCCCAGTGTTTACTCCCATCAAGGCAGACATAAGCGGCAACATCACGGTATGTACCTGGCCGGGCAGCCACAGCCCAAGACTTGCGTTAGGAATCTAAGCCCACCTGGGTTACCAGCATCATGGTCCCAGCTGCAAGCTTCCCACCCCAAGGAAGGGAATGGAGACATGGAAGATGGGCCCCAAGCTTGTCCAATCAGGGCTCAATGTTCTCTGCCCTCCTCCACAGTCTTGCCATCTGGTCACCAGTCTAGCCTGACTGGAACCAAAGTCTAATTAAAGGGTTGACCCTGAGAAGGAACCTGCTGGTTCTTTCATCTATCCCCACCAAGTAAGTAAGCTCCAAAGTCTACAGTCAGCACTGGTCTGGCCTTCCCCTTCTCCAATCCTGGTAGTTCCTGATGCCGCCTCCCCAGCCATAGACTGCCTGTGAGAATCCACCTAGGGCCCAGCCAAGGGCTTGGGACACACTGCATGATCTCATTTCTTCATCCCAGCAGCCCTTTGAGGCTGGTCCTGTGTTATCCCCTTTTTACAGATGAGGAAGCTGAGACTCAGAGGGGTTGAAGGACTCGCTTAAGGTCACAAGCAAGTACGTGGCAAAGCTGGGATTCAGACCCAGGCCTACCTGGCTCCATCTCAGAGGCCTTCGTTCCTGGACTTCTTGGAATCCTCGGAACCTATTTCCACTTGTCCACCAAAGCAAAACTTCAGATACTTGGTGTCTGAGGCAGTGTCAGTAGTGGCTGGAGAACATGAACTCTGTACCAACTGTGTGACCTTGGGCAAGTCCGTGCTCCTCTGTGAGCCTCAGTGTCTCTGCCTGTAAAATGGGATAATGACAGCAACATCAGGTTTGCCACCAGGATCATATAAGGTAGTGCCTGTAAAGCATTTTGCAAATCCTGGCTCATGTGAACAGTCATAGTTATTGTTACAAGTCTTATCCCTGCTGTTCCTGGAGGGCAGGAAGGAGCAGGAGATGCCGGTAGGGTGCTTTTCACCCAGCGTGCGGGCCAGATGTCTATGGGGGCAGCTTACCCAAGGGGAAATCTTGTGTGCTCCATTTCAGAAAATCAAAGCTGTGTACGACACCAACCCAGCCAAGTTCCGGACCCTGCAGAACATCCTGGAGGTGGAGAAAGAAATGTATGGAGCAGAGTGGCCCAAAGTAGGGGCCACACTGGCGCTGATGTGGCTGAAAAGGTGATGGGCTCAGGTGGCAGGGCCTGGGCTCTGTGCTGCAGAGGAGGGAAAGCAAACCTGTCACTGTTCCGCAGTGTCAGCTCAGGCTGGGAAGGTCACTTCCGAGCCCTTCCAGTGTGATGCTAGTTAATGGCTGGGAAAAGGCCTCCCAATGGCCAGGGCTTGCCTGACAGTGATGCTTCCTGGTTCCAGTCCCATCAGTATATGAGCACACCCTGATCTGGGAGTTGTGCTAAGCTCTTTATACACCTGATTGGGTTTCATATTCTGTGAGTTAAGTGTGGTAGCTATTCGCATCTCACAGAGGAGGCAGCTGGCGCTTCTGGAGGCCAAATCACGTGCCCATGTCATCCAGCACAGTTATGCAGGTTGCGTACTGCACAAAGGTGTCCTGTTTAGGGCTGGTCACGCGTACAAAGTGGATTTGTATGTTATGACAGTTTCTTGGTAGAAGTACACCATCTTGAGGAGAAGGAATTCTTCTATTTTTTATTTTTAGAATCCCGTTCTGTTACCCAGGCTGGAGTGCAGTGGCACAATCTCGGCTCACTGCAGCCTCCCCCTCCTAAGTTCAAGCAATTCTCCTGCCTCAGCCTCCTGAATAGCTGGGATTACAGGTGTGCACCACCATGCCTGGCTAATTTTTGTATTTTTAGTAGAGACAAGCCCGCCATGTTAGCCAGGCTGGTCTCAAACTCCTGGCCTCAAGTGATCCGTGTGAGGCAGGTGTGAGGCACCGTGCCCGGCCGTGAGGAGGAGTTCTAATTTGCACAAATACATCCTATGGGCTAGTTTGAACTCATGCTGTTCTCTACCAGCTACAGACTCTTCAGCCCTTAAACCCAGTGCTCCTGCCCCTTAGAGCACCCCACCCTGACTTGATCCCCACCCCACTGCAGGGAGGGAGCAGAGCAGCTCATCTGGGGACCCCAGTGGGACAGTGAGGGGCAGCAAAGGAAAGAGCCTGCTGGGGGTCAGTGAGGCAGGCAGGGTTCACATCCTGGCCTGTGACTGAGCCTTTCTAGGGGAGCCTCAGTGCTTTCCTCTGTGAAATGGGCTGATTGTGCCAAGCTCAGCCTCACAGGCCCCAGGGAAGCAAGAGATGAGATGATGTGTGCTAAGGGGCTGGCCCTGGTGAGATTTTCGATGTGGACTCCTTGTTGTACCCCATCCGCTTCTCCTGGCTCTCAAAACATCACCCTGCCCCTTGAGGAAAAGCTCGAGTGGCCATTGGAGGATGCTCAGGGAGGTCTCAGGCAGAGGAGCACCGTAGCAGACTTAGAAAGATGCTGAGGGCTGGGGAGTGGAGGCGGGAAGCCTGGTACACGCGGGGCCAGTCTCGCCAGTGTGCCCAGTGTATCCACAGTCTGTGGTCCGCGAACCCTTCGAGGGCCAGCACTGTGGCTTCATTCCTCAAGCCTGATGGTTGCCTACCATGTTCCAGCCTGTGGGGGTCATGTGGACACAGAAATGGACAAGGCAGGCCCAGACCCACCCCTCGTGGATCTTACAGCCAGTGTGACTTGTCATGGGCCAGCACCAGGCCTGGAGGAGAGAAGGTGCTCGGGAGATAGTCAATGGAGCCAAGTGGTCACGTTACTTGTAAGCAGAAGGGAAAGATGATTAGGGAATAACCACTCCCTCTGGGGCGCCCATGTTCCTGGCTCACAGTAGGTGGCAAATTCAGAGTCCATCAGGGTCTTTCACGACAGGGCTGTGCAGGGTCCTAACGAACCTTCTCCTCCCTGGGCCACAGAGGCCTCCGCTTCATCCAGGTCTTCCTCCAGAGCATCTGCGACGGGGAGCGGGACGAGAACCACCCCAACCTCATCCGTGTCAACGCCACCAAGGCCTACGAGATGGCCCTCAAGAAGTACCATGGCTGGATCGTGCAGAAGATCTTCCAGGTGAGCCACCCCCATGAGCCCCAAAGGACCACCAGCTTGCAGATTCTGCTCCCCACTCTGCCCCTGCTTAGCCGAGGCCTCCTGGCCTGTGAGGCTGTGTTTACCCCCTCGGGCTCAGGAAGGGCTCCCTCATCTATTTGGGTGAGGCTAGTGTACTGAGAGGTCCCCCTCCCGTGCCCTTGGCCAGCCCCATTCACAGCTGCAGCGGGTGTCACTGTAGCTACTCCACGGTGTTTCTCTTTAGGGGCCTTGGCCTGCAAGGCCTGATGGTGGGGCGACGAGAAACCACAGGGAAAGCCCTGGAGGACCCCAGGTCAAAAGTGGCCCAGCCTGATGGCCCCTCAAATTTACCCCTCCAATTCGACCCCTCAAATTCAGCTCCCATTCCCCTGGGAGCATCTGCTGAAAGGACACCGGCCCTCTGGGTTCTTGGTGGCTTGTGTTGGGGTGACATTGGCCAGGGCTCCTGGAGGTGAGGCTTCAGCACCTGCCTGGTTAGGTGAGGGCCCTACAGTTGATCACCAGGCGGACAGCCCTGCTCAGGAGACTTGCGAAGGCCCTCCGGCTGCCCTGCGCCATGCCCTTCACCTGCTGCTTGCTGCCCTCATCTCACCCACGTGTTCCTGCCCGGCCTGTTCTGGCCACCCTTTCTGCTGCAGCTCCCTCTGCCTGCCCACCCTGGCGGCCATGAGAACGAGGGGCTGACGGGCCCTGTACAGTGTTCCTGTGGGGTACAGTCTGCAAGCAGGCTGGGGCAGAAGCCAGTATGGTTCCAGAGAGGAAGAGCTGGTCATAGGGTGAGATGCGTGGCAGCCCCTGGGCCATCCACCCCGGAAGAGCTGTAGACAGGGCCCATTCCCATGGGCCCCTCGAGAGCTCCACAGTGCATTGCCCCTACAAATCCTCAAACCACCACGTCAGTAGTAATAGTGTGTCCTGTGTACCTGGCCCAGGGCAGCTGCCCATGAATTGTAATCTTCACAGATGCACCACAAGGTGGGCACTGTTCTCACTTCCATTTCCCAGATGAGGACAGTGACGCTCAGACAAGGTCACACAACACAGAAATGGGGGGCTGTGATCCTACCTCCCTGAGCCTCAATATCATCTTTCAAATGGGTATAAAATAGGCACTACTCAAAGAGTCATTGTGACAATTAAATGAATTAATCACTATAAAGTGCTTGACACATGGTTCACATGGTTTACACTCAGTACATCAAAGCTATTACTTTTTTTTTTTTTTTTTTTTTGAGACAGGGTCTCACTCTGTCGCTGTCGCCCAGGCTGGAGTGCAGTGGCACAGTCTTAGCTTACCGCAACCTCCACTTCCCAGGCTCAAGCGATTCTCCAGCCTCAGTGTCTTGAGTAGCTGGGACTACAGGTGCGAGCCACCAACACCTAGCTAATTTTTGTATTTTTTGTAGAGACGAGATTTCACCATGTTGCCCAGGCTGGTCTCGAACTCCTGAGCTCAAAGCAATCCTCCCACCTCGGCCTCCCAAAGTGCTGGGATTACAGGCGTGAGCCACCACCCTAGCTATTACTGCTTTTATTATGAAAGAATAATATTTGGCCAGGCGCGGTGGCTCATGCCTGTAATCCCAGCACTTTGGGAGGCAAGGCAGGTAGGTGGATCACCTGAGGTCAGGTTGGAGATCAGCCTGGCCAATATAGTAAAACACCATCTCTACTAAAAATACAAAAAATTAGCTGGGCATGGTGGCGGGCACCTGTAGTCCCAGCTACTCGGGAGGTTGAGGCAGGAGAATCACTTGAACCCAGTAAGCGGAGGTTGCAGTGAACCAAGATCACGCCACTGACTCCAGCCTGGAGGACAGAGTGAGACTATGTCTAAAAAAATTTTTTAAATAATATTTATACTTTCCTCATCCTATCAAACTCATGGCCTAAACTTTTTTTTTTTTTTTGAAACGGAGTCTCGCTCTGTCACCCAGGCTGCAGTGCAGTGGCGTGATCTCAGCTCACTGCAACCTCTGCCTCCCGGGTTCAAGCAATTCTCCTGCCTCAGCCTCCCGAGTAGTGGGACTACAGATGCCAGCCACCACACCTGGCTAATTTTTGTATTTTTAGTAGAGATGGAGTTTTATCATATTGGCCAGGCTGGTCTCGAACTCCTGATCTTGTGATCTGCCCACCTCGGCCTCCCAAAGTGCTGGGATTACAGGCATGAGCCACCGTGCTTGGCTAGCCTAAGCTTTTTATCTAGTTGTACCTTTTTTCTTCTGGCTCTGAAATTCTGTGAATTTTGAATTCTCTGTACTTTTCAAGTATGGGAGCAGCTCTGAAATTTAGGGAAGTATCGCCCCCCTAAGGACAAAAGAGAGACTACAGCATATTTAGCAGTCGTCTCCCCAACTCAGAAAGTGGGTTTTCCGAAGGAGCAGTTCACCTTTTCTGGAGCAGGGAACCCAGAGGGAAGAGACTCACCCATGCTGAACACCTACTGTGTGCCTGGTGTTGTGCTGAGTGCCTACTGTATGCCTGGTGCTGTGCTGAGCACTTTGTACAAGCCCCCTAATCCTTATAAAAGCAACCCGATTAGGTGGCAGCCATTATCCCCATTTTGCAGATGAGGAAGCTGAAGCTCAGAGAGGCTAACTGACTTGCTCAAGGCTCACAGCTAGTTGATGGCCCAGACTGGCATTTGCATCTAGGCTTGTCTGTCCCGAAAGCTGATGTCCTTCCTGCTGTCGCTCAAAATACACCTCCCTTTTCCTTTCCCTTCCAACACCTCAAATAGCACAACCCCCTGTCCAGCACAGACCCAGGGAAGACCCCTCCCAGAACCCTGGCCTGCTGGCCTGGCTCCTCAGCCCCCGCTAACGCTGTGCCTACCTCCCTTCTTGCCTGTCTCAAGGCAGCACTGTACGCAGCACCCTATAAGTCTGACTTCCTGAAAGCGCTCTCCAAGGGGCAGAATGTTACGGAGGAGGAGTGCCTGGAGAAGATCCGCCTCTTCCTAGTCAACTACACGGCGACCATCGATGTCATCTACGAGATGTACACCCAGATGAACGCTGAGCTTAACTACAAGGTGTAGGCATGCCCACTGCTGGACACGTCCCCGACTCGTGGCCACATGGAGAAACAGGCAAACCAGAATCACTGTGAATCAAGTCGGTGAACTGCCCCTGGCCTGTGTCCCCCAGAGCAGCCCAGGGTCCTGCCAGAGTCTGCAGGGGACAGCCCTCGTTTTTTAAGTCTTTTTTTTTTTTTTTTTTGGTCTATTCTAAAGGACCAGTAAATAATGATCTTACTTCCAAATCTCCTTGGAATTTCACGACAGCACAGACTGACTTTATACCTTCATTTCAGCGTGGTAAAAACCGATTAACACTTCTAATGAGTCAAGTCCTAGGGTTTTTTGGTTTTGTTTTGTTGCCAACGAGGAACACAGCTCTGGGGGAATGGTGTCATCCACCTCGCTTTAAAAATAAGCACATGATGGCTGGGCACCGTGGCTCACGCCTGTAATCCCAGCACTTTGGGAGGCTGAGGCGGGTGGATCACCTGAGGTCGGGAGTTTGAGACCAGCCTGGCCAACATGGTGAAACCCCATCGCTACTAAAAATATAAAAAATTAGCTGGGCATGGTGGCGCACGCCTGTAGTTCCAGCTACTCAGGAGGCTGAGGCAGGAGAATCGCTTGAACCCGGGAGGTGGAGGTTGCAGTGAGCTGAGATCGCACCATTGCACTCCAGCCTGGGCAACAAGAGCGAAACTCTGTCTCAAAAAAAAAAAAAAGAGGTGGGTGGATTACTTGAGGTCAGGGTTTGAGATCAGCCTGACCAACATGGTGAAACCCTATCTCTACTAAAAATATAGAATTAGCCAGGCATGGTAGCGCACGCCTGTAATCCCATCTTCTTGGGAGGCTGAGGCAGGAGAATCGCTAGAAACTGGGAGGTGGAGGTTACAGTAGCCGAGATCGCGCCACTGCATTCCAGCCTGGGCAACAAAAGCGAAACTCTGTCTCAAAAAAGAAAAAAAAGAAAAAAAAGCACGTGACCTTATGAGGCTCTCGCTGTATTGTTATTTTAAGGACTATAAAGAGTTTGATTTAAAATTATGCAGGGCCCCTATGTGGGATTTTTTAAAAAGCAAACTGGTGTGTATTCTCATGTGGTTTGCACAGCCCAGCCTCACAGCACTATTGTAAACCCTGCTCTTTCTGTCTCGCTAGACAGATTTTTTTGTTTGTTTTCTTTTTTCTGGTTGTTTTTTGTTGTTGTTGTTGTTGTTTTACAGCTGAAACCAACCAGCAAGCCCTTGATGACCAAGAGGCGTTTCTTTCAAAGCTATAGGGCACAAACAATTGACCATAGATGACTCCGTTTGCATTCTTCTGCAGAATTATTTCCTTCAGGGACAGATTTTCCAACCTAAGAAACTACCTACCGTGTGTATTCTCTTGACGGGGAGAGATGAACCCTTCAGCTGCTAAGATCCAAGAAAACGCCTCACTGCCTTAACCTTAACTGTTCTTCCTGGCGCTAAAAAGAGCTGTATTTTTTAAAGTGCTGGGGCAAACAAAGCAACCCCAAAAGAGTTGATGTGTGTTTTAAAAGAAAAAACCCAATGAGGAACAATTGGAGATTTTTATGCAGAAACTAAATAATCCTTAATAAATAAATCTCTATTTTGGAATCACATCTGTGCACTGTATTGGTTCTTGATTTTTTTTTCTTTCCTGCATCAGAAATTACAACTGGGGACCCTTACAAATCCTACCAAGAATGTATTTTCTGGCGTCCATGGTTTTAAAATTTTATTTATCTATTATTTTTAAATGTTTTTGTAGAGATTGGGGTCTTGCTATGTTGCCCAGGCTGGTCTCAATCTCCTGGCCTCAAGCAATCCTCTTGCCTCAGCCTCCCAAAGGGTTGGGATTACAGGCATGAGCCACTGCACCAGGCCTGGCCTCCGTGGTCTTAAAAAACAGAACTGGTTGCTGCATGGAGAAACGGGAATTTCACATAAGAATCTTGGGTTTCGGCAGGGTGCAGTGGCTCACTTCTGTAATCCCAGCATTTTGGGAGGCCGAGGTGGGTGGATCACTTGATGTCAGGAGTTCGAGACCAGCCTGGCCAACATGGTAAAACCCCATCTCTACTAAAAATACAAAAATTAGCCAGGTGTGGTGGCGGGTGCCTGTAAACCCAGCTACTTCAGAGGCTGAGGCAGGAGAATTGCTTGGAACCAGGAGGCAGAGCTTGCAGTGAGCCAAGATCGCACCATTGCACTCCAGCCTGGCTGATAAGAGCGAGACTCCATCTCAAAAAAAAAAAAAAAAAAAAAAAAAAAAAAAAAAAATCTTGGGTTTCTGTAGCCATAAAAAAGAATGAGTTCATGTCCTTTGCAGGGACATGGATAAAGCTGGAAGCCATCATTCTCAGCAAACTAACACAGGAACAGAAAACCAAACACTGCATGTTGTCACTCATAAGTGGGAGTTGAACAACGAGAACACATGGACACAGGAAGGGGAACAACACACACTGGGGCCTGTCAGGGGTGGTGGGTAAGGGGAAGGAGAGCATTAGGACAAATACCTAATGCATACAGGGCTTAAAACCTAGATGACGGGTTGATAGGTGCAGCAAACTACCATGGCACGTGTATACCTATGTAACGTATAATTAAGAAAAGAACCTTGGGTTTCTAGCTTCTTTTGAAAAACCAGGCTGCCTGGTGGGAGCTGAGAGACGACTGCCCCCTTGGCTGGGCAGGGCAAGGGAAAGGGGAATCAGTTCTTCACTTTGCCTTAGTCTCCACCCATCCCTGTTGCCTCCCCACCCCGGACCAGTTTGCACTTTTTCATGGGCTGTTGTTTTTTCTTATTCTAGGGTTAAATGTAGAGGGAAATATTTATTTTATTTTGTTCCTGCTCCTATAGAGCTTATAATCTAGTGGGCAAGATGGACCGGTAAATCAATAATGATGAAATAGAGTGGTCAGTTCCCAGAGGGAACCTGGAGCCTCAGAGGAGAGGCAGTGTCCTGGGATGTATCTTAGGGAACTGGGGCATGCATCAAGCCTCTGTGGAAGTTCGGGGGTAGGGAAGCCTAGTAGAAGAGGAGGGTCAGGGGACACTTCAAGGCACAGGCAAAGACCTGGTGGCTTGACCCAGAGCAGGCTGTGTATGTGTGTGTCACATTGCACCATTAAGAGATTTGAACCTGACCCTGAAAATTATGGACACCTTCAAGACTCTTGTGTGCAATTGCATATACCCAGGTATATGCAGATACCCAGTTTGGAAAGCTCCCTCTAACGTGGTCAAGAGATGGAAGCCTGAAATAAGTTTTTTCCTGTCTGTGATTTTATTATATTTTCTCTTTCTCTTCCTGCCTTCCTTCCTTCCTTTCTTTCTTTTTTTTTTTTTTTTGAAGGAGTCTCGCTCTGTTGCCCAGGCTAGAGTGCAGTGGCGCGATCTCGGCTCACTGCAACCTCCACCTCCGGGGTTCAAGCAATTCTTTGCCTCAGCCTCCCGAGTAGCTGGGATTACAGGCGCCTGCCACCATGCCCAGCTAATTTTCATATTTTTTAGTACAGACGGGGTTTCACCATGTTGGCCAGGCTGGTCTTGAACTCCTAACTTTGTGATCCGCCCACCTTGGCCTCCCAAAGTGCTGGGATTACAGGTGTGAGCCACCGTGCCCGGCCAATTTTATTATATTTTTTAATAGTCCTCAGATTAGGGATGTTACTGTTCATTCTAAGCTCTAAATGCTTTTTAGGGTTTTTTTCCTTTGGATTTCTTAGAAATACAGAATTCTGTCTCTCCTTTTTAAAGTGATTTTTTTTTTTGAGACAGAGTCTAGCTCTGTCACCCAGGCTGGAGTACATTGGTGCAGTCTCGGCTCACTGCAGCCTCCACCTCCTGTGTTCAAGCAATTCTCCTGCCTCAGCTTCCTGAGTAGCTGGGATTACAGGCCCCCGCCACCATGTCCGGCTAATTTTTTAAATTAAAAAAAAAAATTGTTGTTGTTGTTTTTGGAGACGGAATCTCGCTCTGTCTCCCAGGCTGGAGTGCAGTGGCACAATCTTGGCTCACTGCAACCTCTGCCTCTCGAGTTCCAGTGATTCTCTTACCTCAGCAGGAGAGTAGCTGGGATTACAGGTGCGCACCACCACCCCAGCTAATATTTTTGTATTTTCAGTAGAGATGGGGTTTCACCATGTTAGCCAGGCTGGTCTCAAACTCCTGACCTCAAGTGATCCGTCCGCCTCGGCCTCCCAAAGTGCAAGGATTACAGGCATGAGCCGCTGTGTTCGGCCTTAAAATGATGTTTTCTTGGCCGGGCGTGGTGGCTCACGCCTGTAATCCCAGCACTTTGGGAGGCCAAGGCGGGCGGATCACAAGGTCAGGAGATCGAGACCATCCTGGCTAACACGGTGAAACCCCGTCTCTACTAAAAATACAAAAAATTGGCCAGACGTGGTGGCGGGCGCCTGTAGTCCCAGCTAGTCAGGAGGCTGAGGCAGGAGAATGGCATTAACCCGGGAGGCGGAGCTGGCAGTCAGCCGAGATAGCGCCACTGCACTCTAGCCTGGGTGACAGAGCAAGACTCCGTCTCAAAAAGATCTTTTCTTTATGCCTCTAACATAATACGGTGAGACCGGGAGGGCAATTTTTTTGTGGAAGGCAGGGATTTTCCCAGCCCAGCCCCCGTTCCTAGTACCTGCGGGGACCCTGGGAACATTTTGGGTTTTCTACCCCAGAGACAAAAGCCAGAAAGGCATCTATGCCTTTCCCGTTTCATCCTTGTCAAAGTGGGACTGAGTTCCATCTGGGGCAGGGAGGAAACAACACACATTGGTCACTATATAACGGGCCCTGCAAAAGTGCTCTACACAAATCATTTCACAACCACCTGAGACGTGGACCTCAGTAGCCCCGTTTATCAGAGAAGGAAATTGAACCCCAAAGGGTGTGGCAAAGAGACTTGCCCAGGGTAACCCAGCCAGATATGGGGCCACAGAAGTTTCATGTCCAACTCCAAATCTCCCCTCAGCCGTGTTCACTTGTGTGCCAGCTGACAGTGAGCCTATTTTCAGCACACCTCCTGCCAGAGCGTTCCCACTGATGGGGTGCTGCCTTATCTGACCCAGGTTAACCATACAGAAACCCAAATTAGCTCAAATGTTTGACGAGGGTTGACATTGACTTGTTGATTCATTCAGTTAAAACTCACTGAGCCCATTACAATACAACATGTCAAACCCATTGTAATACATCACTGTTATAGACAAGGAACTGAAATTCACTTTGTAACAATTAAACAGCAGAAGAACTTCTGTCTTTTTAAAGACAGGGTCTTGCTTTGTCACCTAGGCTGGAACGCAGTGGTGCAATCATAGCTCACTGCAGCTTCAAACTCCTGGGCTCAAGGGATCCTTCTGCCTCAGCCTCCCGAGCAGCTGGTACTACAGGCATGCACCACCAAACCTGGCTAATTTTTTTTTTTTGAAAAGGAGTCTTGCTCTGTTGCCCAGGCTAGAGTGCAGTGGTGTGATCTCGGCTCACTGCAGCCTCCACCTCCTGGGTTCAAGCAATTCTACTACCTCAACCTCCCGAGTTGGGATTACAGGTAGCTGGGATTACAGGTGCCCGCCACCACACCCAGCTACCTTTTGTATTTTTAGTAAAGACAGGGTTTCACCATGTTGGCCAGGCTGGTCTCGAACTCCTGACCTCAGGTGATCCACCCGCCTCGGCCTCCCAAAGTGTTAGGATTACAGGCGTGAGCCACAGCATCCGGCCCCAGCTAATCTTTAAAAAAATTTTTTTGTGTTGACTATGTTGTCCAGACTGGTCCATTTTTGTTTAAAGGCCTTTACCCATTCCTGTATGAAGGCTAGGATAATTTTAGAGCAACTGAGATAAAATGCAGAAATAGCAATCACATAGTTTTCAAAACTAACTTTGGGATTAAAGAGGAAGTATGTAGACAACTATAATTTGTTAACGATTTATAGGAACAAGGAGATTTGGCTATTGTCACATGAGAGACCATTACCCAAGGACAAAGAAGTTTCACAAACTTCCCCCTGACCCTTGCTGGCACCCAGATGTCTGCCTGTTTCTTTCCTCCCTTACCTAACATATAAGACAAAGCCAAGCCCATATATACATATATTTTTTTGAGACGGAGTCTCACTCTGTTGCCCAGGCCAGAGTGCAGTGGCGCTATCTCAGCTCGCTGCAACCTCTGCCTCCCAGGTTCACGCGATTCTCCTGCCTCAGCCTCCTGAGTAGCTGGTACTACAGGCGTGCACCACCACGCCCAGCTAATTTTTGTATTTTTAGTAGAGACGGGGTTTCACCACGTTGGCCAGGATGGTCTCCATCTCTTGACCTTGTGATCCACCCGCCTCGGCCTCCCAAAGTGCTGGGATTACAGGCATGAGCCACCACACCGGGCCCAAGAGCATATAATTCTAAGAGGGCTCTTTAGAACATTTAGGCCATTTAGGTTTGCTGGCTCTCCAAAATAAAGTCGCTTTCCTTGCTCCAACTCCTGGCCTCTCGACTGAGTGGCTATCATGCAGGGAGCAGAAGGAGTTTGGACTCGGTTACAACTTCACCTTTCAGAGTTTCAGTTTCCTTATCCGTAACACACAGGTCTTGTTGTGAGGCTTCAATTAAATGTTACCATTTGTAAGGTAATTAGAACAATGTTTGGAGCATAGTAAGCTGCCTTAGTAGGTGTTCAGGTGTTCAATAAAACTGCAAAGATATATTTACGTGATGTGGGGCGTAGCCTGATGAGATCGAATACTGGAGTCCTGGGTCGGCCGTCTATTAGGGAAGTAGACTTGGACAGCTCACTTCACCCCTCTGAGCCTCAGTTTCCTCATCCATACAATGGGAATACCAACAGTTTCTAGCTCACCGAGTCAATGAAGCTGCCCGGGCAGGCGCTTATCTGCGTAATCGTTCAATGTTGACCCAATTACCGTCGTTTGCAGGAGGTTATATGGGGACACGACCCTTCAGTTTTGCTGGTTGGTTGGTGGATGGGTTCCCGGGTTCACGCCGGCCCCACAGCCCTGCGCCTGCGCATTGAGCGCCTGCGCTTGAGCCCCTGCAGCTCCCACGGGCCCGGTAGGTGGCGCTGTCCCCATTGTGCCGCAGAGGCAGAGCTGGGAGGCCCCGCCAGGCCCTGCGCCTCCCCACACCCCACCAGGCTCCTGCCCGCTCCCAAAGTGGGTGGAACGGAGGGAGGGCAGGAGGGGCAGGAGAACTTGTCCTCCTACCGTGCTTGGGCTGTTTCCTAAGGGCTACGTGAGAAGCCTCACTTGCACACTGTTGGGAAAGTTTGCAGCTCCTCCAGCAGGTGTCTTGGGGCCCTGAGTTCACACCTGCCTCAGTGTGGAGGGTCATTAGGTGTGTCCTGTTATTTTCACTGCTACTACTGCCACCAGCACCACCACCACCTAACAATTCTTGGGTTCACGTCCAGGTTCTGAAACTTTGAAGTTGTGTGCCCAGGACAAGTCAGTTCCCCTCTCTGAGCCTCAGTTTTTGCATCTGTGAAATGGGACAGAAACATCTCTACCTTGCAGTATTACATGAAATAAGGCGTGTAAAATACCTGACACATAGAAGATATTCAATAAATGGACTGTGTTAATATTTTTATTAATTATGATGCTACAGCCTGCCAAAGGCTCCTGAAAGGACAACTGGTTCTTAATGCAGTTAGTTAAACCGGATCATTTTCACCTACTCCCTGTTCTTGTTTGTTTTGAGATGGAGTCTTGCTCTCTCCCCCAGGCTGGAGTGCAGTGGCATGATCTCGGCTCACTGCACCCTCTGCCTCCTGGGTTCAAGTGATTCTCCTGTCTCAGCCTCCAGAATAGCCAGGACTACAGGCATATGCCACCAGGCCCAGCTAATTTTTGTATTTTTTTTTTTTAGTAGAGACAGGGTTTTACCATGTTGGCCAGGCTGGTCTTGAACTCCTGACTTCACCTGATCTGCCCACCTCAGTCTCCCAAAGTGTTGGGATTACAGGCATGAGCTACCACTCCTGGCCTACTCCTTGTACTTGAAGATACAGTAGGGCCCTTCTCAACACATCAACAAGGAACACCAGAAAATGTTGTGCATTCTCAACTCTCACTCTGCCCTGATCCGCTGTATGACTCTGGGCAAACCTCTTCTGTCCTCTGGGTCTCAGTTTCATCTTTAAAATTGGGATTAGCAACCTAAATTCCCACTGATGGACAGTGGAGAAAGAAAATGTGGTATATACAGACAATGGAATGCTATTTGGCCTTACGAAAGAATGAAATCATGTCATTAGTAGCCAACATGGCTGGCAGTGGAGGTCATTTTGTTAAGTGAAATAAGGCAGGCACAGAAAGACAAATATTGCATGTTCTCACTCATTTGTGGGAGTTTAAAAAAAAAGATCTCGTGGAGATAGAGAATAGAATGATAACCCAGGCATGGTGGCTCACGTGTGTAATCCCAGCAGTTTGAGAGGCCGAGGTGGGCGGATCACTTGAGGTCAGAGTTCGAGACCAGCCTGGCTAACATGGTGAAACCCTGTCTCTACTAAAAATATAAAAATTAGCTGGGTGTGGTGGTACACACCTGCAATCCCAGCTACTTGGGAGGCTGAGGCAGGAGAATTACGTGAACCCAAGAGGTAGAGATTTCAGTGAGCCGAGATCACGCCACTGAACTCCAGCCTGGGGGACAGAGCTAGACTCCATCTAAAAAAAACAAAAGTTTTTTTTGAGACTTGAATGATAGATACCAGAGGCTGGGAAGGGTGTGATAGAGGGAGGGCGGGATAAAGAGGTTGGTTGATGGGTACAAACATATAGTTAGGTAGAGAAATAAGCCCCAATATTCCATAGCAGAGTAGAGTGACTACTATAGTTAGCAAAAATGTATTGTATATTTCTTTCTCTTTTATTTTTTTGAAACAATGTCTGTCTGCATCACGCAGGTTGGAGTGCAGTGGCCCAATCTTAGCTCACTGCAACCTTCACCTCCCAGGCTCAAGCCATCCTCCTGCCTCAGCCTCCCAAGTAGCTGGGATTACAGGCACGCATCACCACGTCCAGCTAATTTTTGTTGTTGTCATTGTAGTTGTTGGAGATGGATTCTCGCTCTGTCTCCCAGGCTGGAGTGCAGTGGCACGATCTTGGCTTACTACAACCTCCGCCTCCTGAGTTCCAGTGATTCTCCTGCCTCAGCCTCCTGAGTAGCTGGGACTACAGGCATGCGCCACCAAGCCCAGGTAATGTTTTTGTATTTTTAGTAGAGATGGAGTTTCCCCATGTTAGCCAGGCTGGTCTCGAACTCCTGACCTCAAGTGATCCAGCCGCCTCGGCCTCCCAAAGTGCTGGGATTACAGGCGTAAGCCACTATGCCTGGACCTAATTTTTGTATTTTTTTGTAGAGACGGAGGTTTCATCAGGTTGGCCAGGCTGGTCTCGAACTCCTGACCTCAAGTGGTCTGCCCACCCCAGCCCCGCAAAGTGCTGGGGTTATAAGCGGGAGCCACCGCACCCGGCTTGTATATTTCAAAGTAGCTAGCAGGGAGGACTTGAAATGTTACCTACTCACAGAAATGATAAATACGAGTGATGGATACCCCAAATACCCTGACCTGATCATAACACATTCTGTACACGTAACACTCACTTGTACCTCATAAATATGTAAAATATTTCCTGTCAATAAAAAAATAAGTAAAAACAATGTACACTACTCTGGTAACAGGAACACTAAAATCTCAGACTTCGCTGCTATACAATTCATCCGTGTAACCAAAAACCACTTGTTCCCCAAAAGCTATTGAAAAAAATATATATATATAAATTTAAAAATAAATAAATAAAAATAAAACAAAATTGGGATTAGATAGTTCAAAGTTCCTGCCCAGCTCTGACAATCTACAATGGATACCTTTTTTTTTTTTGAGACGGAGTTTCTCCCTTGTTGCCCAGGCTGGAGAAGTGCAATGGCGTGATCTTGGCTCACCGCAACCTCTGCCTCCCAGGTTCAAGCGATTCTCCTGCCTCAGCTTCCTGAGTAGCTGGGATTACAGGAGTGGGCCACCACGCCCAGCTAATTTTGTATTTTTAGTAGAGACAGGGTTTCTCCATGTTGGTCAGGCTGGTCTCCACCTCCCAACCTCAGGTGATCCACCTGCCTTGGCCTCCCAAAGTGCTGAGATTACAGGCATGAGCCACTGCACCCGGCCAATGGATACCTTTTACCACTGTATCCAGCTCCCGGTTTGTATTTATAAGTTCAGTAAAATCTACACTCTGCTTCTGACAAGGAATGGGGCCACAAATGCAAATACACTTAGCACAGCGCCTCCTGCCAGGGGGTGCTGGATAAAGGGCAGCTGTGAAGATGATGCACCCTTAATCAGTCCTTGATCTGACCCAGAGAAGATTGTTTGGAAGGGATAGTCATTCAACCCCTGTTTGCTGAGCACTTACTATGTTCAACGCTCTGAATTCGGCTCAGGGGATCTTGCAAGAAGACAGATAAGGTCTCTCTCTCTCTCTCTCTCTTTTTTTTTTTTTTTCAGACAGAGTCTCACTCTGTTGCCCAGGCTGGAGTGCAGTGGCATGATCTCGGCTCACTGTAACTTCCGCCTCCCAGGTTAAAGCGAATCTCCTATCTCAGCCTCCCGAGTAGCTGGGATTACAGGCGTGCGCCAGCATGCCCGGCTAATTTTTGTATTTTTGGTAGAGATGGGGTTTCACCATATTGGTCAGGCTGGTCTTGAACTCCTGACCTCAGGTGATCCACCTGCCTCGTCCTCCCAAGGTGCTGGGATTACAGGCGTAAGCCACCGGGGGCGCCCGGCCGACAGATAAGGTCTCTATTCCCCAGGGGTACAACAAGGTCCAGTGCGCAATGAATCCAGAGAGGGAAATGAGCAGTGGAGGACAGCAAAAGGGGTCATGTGATGGAAATGACTACAGACCCCTGATTTAGATTGGAGTCCGGGTGGGCAGAGCTCTCTGAGGAGGTGACATTTCAGCTGGGACCTGAAGGGGCATAGCTAGTGCAAAGGCCCCGGGGCAGGAGAGAAAGCAACATGCACCAAGGACAGAGAGAGGCCAAGGTGGCCAGAGCCTGGAGAACAAGAGAGGGTGGCAGTGGGTGATGAAACCTACAGGTGCTGAGGCCAGCGTGAGTGTGGTTTTTGGTCTAAGAACAGGGGAAGTCATCGCTCCTGTGAGTAGGGGGCGACAGAGCCAGTTTACAGGTTGCAAGCTGTTAGCCAGGATCTATTTCTAGGGGTTCCTTTGGGGGACTCGGAAGAGAGGCTGTCCCCTCCCCTGCCCCAATCCAACCTCTGCTCCTGCATGGCTGGGTAAAGTGAGACTTCCTCACACAAAGTGTGCTTTACTTTGTTGGGGGCACGGAGTAGGGAGGGTGTCCCCAGGCCTCTGAAAGTCATGATCCTCTCTCTAGAAGGTGCTCCCTCACCCCCTCACAATTTTACTCCCTGTTCTAGGACCTCCATGGACTCCCAGTTGCCCACCCAGGGACCCCAGCTTGGAAGTCCTGAATCAGCCTGCCTTCCTTGGGACCGAGGCCTAGACACTCCCATCCCTGCCTGTGCCATCACCTTCATATGGAGGCTATCTTTGAAGTGCCCGTGGCCAGCTGTGACTGGCCCTACCCACAGGCCACCACGCCCAGCTGCCCAGAGGAATGGAATCACAGCCAGTGGCTGGGCAGCTGAGAGTAGCTGTGCCCATGGCAACGGTCATCTGAGATGAGCTTCCTCTCCACCTGGCCTCAGGTTTCTGGCCCAGAGAGAATTCCAGAAGAGCCTCATTGAAGGTCCCTGGCAGGGTGGGGCCCTGCTGTCTGGGACAAAAGCTTGCTATTCTCGGGACCAGGGTGGACAGAGCACTGATTGTCTGCAGCCTCTTTGTGTGCAGTCTCTGTGGCTTCTTGGTAAATGGAAGATGTGATTTCATGGGGAACCTGGGAGACCATCAGACCCTGTCTCCTCCCTGCTGTGTGACTGTGGGGAGGTTCCTTCACCTCTCTGGGCGTGCTTCCTCTTGTGCAGCTGGATAGAGCTCATGAAGGCAGAGCCCTACACAGTGCCTCTGGCACACAGCAAGCAGTGCATAAATGCATACTTGTTAGCCCTGGTGCTTCCCCTACCCTTTCCTCCCTAGTTTCCTGTGTTTTTCCTTCTTTTCGTCATGATTTGAGCCCCTGTGTGGCATTCACTGGGGAAAGAGCAAAGAAGGCAGACCAGAATGTCTCTCCATATCTCCCACCCCACGCCTATCCCTGATCTCATCCTAGGGGGTGTGAACAGGGACCCCCCTCGGTGGGTCCTGAGGCACACAGGACAGTGGGAAGCGGTTGCTTAGTGGCTGAAAGGTGCAGTTGGAATTCAGAATATCCTGGATTTGAATCCTGATGGCACCATTGGCAGGTATCTATCTCCTCGGGTAAAAGGCTTTCACTGTGTGTGGAGCCTCAGTCTGTCGGTCTGCAAAAGGTAGGGGAGAAGACCTGCCCATGGGAGGGGTGGTTGAGATGAAGATGATGGGGAGGAGGGAAGAGGGGCTGAGAGGCTGGTGCAGGAGGGGCTGAGAGGCTGGGATTTGCAGGGGTCCAACCCCACATGGTGGCCTTGGCTACATCCATACCTCAGAGACCCATTCCAGGCCCCCAGGGACCCCGACATTAACTCTTGGCCTAAACCAACCCCCAGCTGGGCTAAGGGGAGGGGGCGGGGTTGGGGAGGGGTCATGGAATGAAGGAAGGGAGAGAGCAGGGGCAGGACAGCAGGGAGTGTGGGGAAGGAGAGGAAAGAAGTTTCTGCCTGGGGAGTGAGGAGGAGAGCTATGCTTGCTGTCTTTTGGACTCAGTAGTTCCCATTCGTAAAATGGGCACAATCAAATGGGGAAACTGATGCCCACTTCACAGGGTTGCTGGGAAGGGAGATGTGAAGGAACACACGGGAGAGCACTGGGTGAAGCTGGAAGCGCTTGGGTGGGAGGGCACATGAAGTTAGTCTTGGAGGAGGCGGGGCCCCATTGTGGGACTATTTATTGAACAGTTACTGTGTTCCCGAACTGCCCAGCCCTCACAAGCCCTATTGTGTTTAATCCCTACAACCTGAAGAGGCAGGGGAAGTTACTGCTCTCATTTTACAGATGAGAGAAGCAGGGCTCAGAGAGGCAAAGTCACCTGCCCTAGGTCACAGCTTAGAAGTATGATAGAGCCACACCCAATCGTTTTGATCCTAGAGATCATGTCTTCTTCTTCTTCCTCCTCCTCCTCTTCTTCTTCTTGTTTTTTTTTTTTGTAGAAGTGGTTTCTCACTATGTTGCCCAGGCTGCTCTTGAACTCCTGGCCTCAAGCGTTTCTCTTGCCTCAGCCTCCCAAAGTGCTGGGATGACAGGCATGAGCCACTGTACCTGGCTGTCTTCTTCTTTTTTTAAAAAGAAAATTTCACAGCAGCTTTATTAAGATAGTCATATACCATACAATTCATCCACTTAAAGTGTACTCTTCAATGGTTTTTATTTTATTTATTAATTTAATTTTTAAATTTTTTTGAGTCTCATTCTGTTGCCCAGGCTGGAGTGCAACAATGCGATCTTAGCTCGCTGCAACCTCTGCCTCCCAGGTTCAAGCGATTCTCCTGCCTCAGCCTCCGGAGTAGCTGGGATTACAGGCGCTCATTACCACGCCCGACTAATTTTTATATTTTTAGTAGAGATGGGGTTTCACCATGTTGGCCAGGCTGGTCTGGAACTCCTGACCTCGTGATCCTCCCACCTTGGCCTCCCAAAGTGCTGGGATTACAGGCATGAGCCACTGTGCCTGGCCTTCAGTGGTTTTTAGTATAGTCATACATATGAGCAACCATCACCAGTCAATTTTAGAATATTTGCATCATCCTATTTGGTTGGGTGTGGTGGTATGCGCCTGCAGTCCCAGCTACTCAGGAGGTTGAGGTGAGAGCATGGTTTGAACCCAGAAGTTAGAGGGTGCAGTGAGCTGTGGTTGCACTGCTGCCCTCCAGCCTGTGCGACAGAAAAAGAAAAAGAAAACCCATACCCTTTAGCTATTACCCTTGGCCCCCCAAATCCTCCCTTCCCCCCAGCCCCTGACGACCACTCAGCTCTTTTCTGTTTCTATAGATTTGCCTCTTCTGGCCATTTCATATAAATGGAATTATGTAATATGCGGCCTTTTGTGTCTGGCCACTCAGCATCCTGCTTCCAAGGTTCATCCATGTTGTTGCATGACTCAGTAACCATTCATTTTATTGCCAAATAGTATTCCTTTGTGTGGATATACTGTGTTTGTTTATCCATTGAGAATTTGAGTTGTTTTCTTTTTTTGGCTATTATGAATAATGCTGCTATGAACATTCAAGTTTTTCTATGGACGTAAGTTCTCATTTCTCTTGGCTATATTTCTGGGGTGGAATTGCTGGGTCATATGGGAACTCCAGATTTTTTTTTTTTTTTTGAGACAGGATCTCACTCTGTTGCCCAGGCTGGAGTGCAGTGGCACAATCTCAGCTCACTGCAGCCTCTGCCTCCTGGGCTTAAGCAATTCTTGTGCCTCAACCTCCTGAGTAGTTGGGATTGCAGGTGCCCACCATCATGCCCGGCTAATTTTTGTATTTTTTTTTTTAATTAGAGATGAGGTTTCACCGTGTTGGCCAGGCTGGTCTCAAACTCCTGGCCTCAAGTGATCCTTCCGCCTTGACCTCCCAAAGTGTTGGGATTACAGGCGGGAGCCACCGTGCCTGGCAGTAACTCTAGATTTAATATTTGGAGGAACTGCCAGACCGTTTTCCATAGCAGCCACTCCATTACACATTCCCACCAGCAGTGTGCGAAGATTCCAGCTTCTCCACTTCCTCATCCACACTTATGGTCTGTCTTTTTGAGATCATATTCTTTTTTTCTTTTTTTCCTAGACAGGGTCTCACTTTGTTGCTCAGGCTGGAGTGTAGCTGCCTGAACACAGCTCACTGCAGCCTTGACCTCCAGGGCTCAAGTGATTCTCCTGCCTTAGCCTCCCCAAATGCTATGATTACAGGTGTGTGCCGCCGCACCTGGCCAGGAAAATATTCCTGCTGGTCATGCTACACTGTAGAGTCTGCTGGGCTTGGGTTCAAATCTTACCAGTTGTGGGATGATCTCAGACAAGTGGCCTCTTTGTGTCATTATCTATAAAATGGTGGAAGAATTCCTCCTTTCCAGGCTGTCAAAAGATGAACTGAGTTAGTGGCAGGATCAGGACTGTGCCAACTGTAAAGTGAGGTGCACGTGTCTTGTTTTTATAACTGGGTACCCTGGGTATAAAGTCCCTGAGATCCTGACCTGTCTGGCTCACCAATCTCTCCCCAGCATCTGGCACTGGACCTGGCATACAGTAAGCACTTGGTAAATGCAGACCCTTGGCTGCTGCCCAGGAACCTTTCTTAGGGGAGGTAGCTGAGTCCACCTGGGGCAGTCCAGGAGCTACGTGGAGAGCAAGGCTGCGCCCCACATGTGGCTGCCACATGACTCACAGCCAATGCTGAGGGCCTTGAAAGTTTTTCCTTCCCTAAGAGGAAACATTATTTCTGGCTAGGCACAGTGGCTCATGCCTGTAATCCCAATGTTTTGAGAGGCCAGGTTATGAGGATCACTTGAGCACGGGAGTTTGAGACCAGCTTGGGCAGCATAGCGAGACCTCACCTGTACAAAAAATAAAATTTAAAAAGCCAGGCTTGGTGACACACACCTATAGTCCCAGCTATTCAGGAGGCTGAGGCAGGAGGATCGCTTGAACCTAGGAATTTGAGGCTGCAGTGAGCTATGAGCAGGCAACTGCACTACAGCCTGGGCTACAGAGCAATACCCTGTCTCTCTCTAAAAATAAAAAAAAAAAGATTAAAAATTAAACTTAAAAAGTATATTCATATTGTTGTGTGACCCTCGTTCATCTCCAGAACTCTTTGCATCTTGCAAAACTGAAACCCTACGCCCAACAAACAGCAACCTCCCATTCTCCTCTCCCCCAGCTCCATCAACCAGGACTTTTTTTTTTTTTGAGATGGAGTCGCTCTCTGTTGCCCAGGCTGGAGTGCAGTGGCACGATCTCTGCTCACTGCAACCTCCCTCTCCCAGGTTCAAGCAATTCTGTCTCAGCCTCCCAGGTAGCTGGGATTACAGGTGCCCACCACCATGCCCAACTAATTTTTGTATTTTTAGTGGAGACGGGGTTTCATCATGTTGGCCAGGCTGGTCTCGAACTCCTGACCTCAGTTGATCTGCCCACTTCAGCCTCCCAAAGTGCTGGGATTACAGGCATGAGCCACTTCGCCTGACCCATCAACCAGTATTTTTAAAGCACCTACTAAGTGCCAGGTGCTAGACCTGTGGTCATGAACACGTTCCCTTGCTTCATGGACACTGGTACCCATTTTTTAGGTGAGGAAACTGAGGCACAGAGAGAGAGGGAGGCTCTTGCCCACAGCTCCCACCACAGCTCCTTCTCCCATCAGCGGCAGGGCAGGATTTGAACCCCAGTGTCTGGTGCAGAGGCCAAGCTCCAGCTGCTTAGCCCAAGATGAGTCACTTCCCTACATGGGGGCCTCAGTTGCCCCATCTGTGAAATGGGGATCAGGAAAGAGCTGGGTTAGTGATGATGATGCTGAGCGCTCAGGCCCCTTCCCTCTGAGCTTAGAGAAGAGGAGGTCGCCATCCCTGGCCCCATCTCCCCCAGTTCCAGTCCCCAACATCAGCTGCCTTATGGCTGGAATCACCCTTGCCATTTTCTTTAAATTGAGACAGGCCTTTCTGCAGAAATGGGTCCCAGACTCACTCCTCCACTCTCAACCTGGCCCAGCCCCAGCCCCAGCCCTGAGGGCCCCCAGCAGATAGCTGTCTGTCAGGGAGGTGTGAGGGGCCCTGTGTTTACCTTCCTCTCCACTGCCAGACATCTGCCTGTTTACTCCGGACCCTCAGAGGGTTCTCTTTCCCACCCCAACCCCCACCATGGAGGGAGCAGCTTTTGGAGAGGCCATACTCCTCTCCAAGCCTCAGTTTCCCACTTGCAAAATGGGTAGAGCAAACCCTACCTCACAGCCTGTTCTCCCTCTCATCCCCTAGGCTTCTGTGCTCAGTGAGTTAATTATTAGGGTTTGTTTCTTTGTAAATGTTTCACGCTGGAGGTGAACACATCACTCCTATTCAGGGGTACACACACACACACACTCTCTCTCTCTCTCTTTCGCCTCCCCACCCAGCAATTCTAAAATTTCACTTTCCAGCTGTTGGACCTCAGGAGAGATGCTGCTATTTTCAAGCTGAGGAGGAAGGAGCTACCCCACAGTCCCTGAGTCAGCTCAATTTAGTGAAAACACTAATGATGAAAATGGCATGGCTCTGGGCCGGGCACGGCGGCTCACACCTGTAATCCCAGCACTTTGGGAGGCCAAAGTGGGTGGATCAACTGAGGTCAGGGGTTCAAGACCAGCCTGGCCAACATGGTGAAACCCTGTCTCTACTAAAAATACAAAAAATTAGCCTGGCGTGGTGGCGCATGCCTGTAATCCCAGCCCCCAGGAGGCTGAGGCAGGAGAATCGCTTGAACTCAGGAGGCAGAGGTTGCAGTGAGCTGAGATCACACCCCTGAACTCCAGCCTGGGCGACAGAGTAAGACTCTGTCTCAAAAAAAAAAAAAAAAGGGCTCTGCACAGCCTGGATGCTCCCAGCATCTTCACTGCGACTGTGAGGTGAGGACTTTTGTATGCCCCACTCTACAGGGGGATGTAGAGGCACTGAGGCACAAAGGTGAAGGGACTTGCATAGGGCTGCTGGGTTAGAGAGTCACAGAGCCAAGCTGTGGGCCTGCTAGGCTTTCCAACCACCCTGGAGGAAGTGAGCTGCCCATCCTGTGGAGGTATTCAAGTGGACTCAGTGCTGGGTAGAGGGTATGGCTATGTGTTGGGGCCCACCTTTGTTATCTGATAAAAGAAAATACATGGGTAGGTGTGGTGGCTCATGCCTATACTCTCAGTGCTTTGGGAGACTGAAGTGGGAGGATCACTTGAGGCCAGGAGTTGTAGACCGGCTGCCCTCCCCCACCCCCCCTTCTACAAAAAAATAAAAATTAGTGGGGTGTGGTGGCGCATGCCTGTACTCCCAGCTGCTCAGGAGGCTGAGGTGGGAGGATCTCTTGAGGCCAGGAGTTTGAGGCTGTAGTGAGCCGTGATCATGCCACTGCACTTCAACCTGGGTGACAAAGGGAGAACATGTATCAAAAATAATAATAATAATAAAAAAAATAAACAAAAACGCATTGAGCCAGGCACGGTGACTCAGACCTCTAATCCCAGCACTTTGGGAGGCCGAGGTGGGTAGATCGCTTGAGCCTGGAGTTTGAGACCAGCCTAGGCAACATAGTGAGACCCTATCTCTGCAAAAAATTTAAATAAAATTAGCCAAGCATGGTGGTAGGCGTCTGTGGTCTCAGTTACTAGGGAGGCTGATACGGGAGGATTGCTTGAACGCTGGTGGTTGAGGCTGCAGTGATTCCTGATCACGCCACCGCACTCCAGCCTGGGCAACAGAGTGAGACCCTGTCTCAAAAACAACAGCAACAAAACATTGATGGCCTACTCCGAGGCAGGCTTCGCAGTAAGCACTGGGTGAAGACCAAGGAGAGCAGCTCACATTTATTTACCCCTGAACCATCTCTATGGGCCATACCCGAGGGTAGGGACCTCCTTCAACGCCTCGGAGGAAATTGTCTGCTGAATGAATGAATGAGCAAACACGTGGAGGACTGGGCCGGGACGCCCATTTAGAGACTAGGACACAGTCCCAGGGCGGCCCGAAGTCACGGAGCAAGATCGAATCGGAGCCGATTCCAACTAGAGCCCTCTCCAAAGACCGTCTGCCGCTCTATCCGGGGATCGCGACACCCATTTTCCAGGCGAGGAAACTGAGGCCCTGGCCCTGCACCTCCCCCGCAGGGGAGGCCCTCGCTGGGCGGGCGGGGTGCGAGTAGGGGCCGCCCCTTCTAGGGCCTGCGCTCGGCGGGGTCCGCGAGCCGGCGGGTGGGCGGGGAGCTGGCCGGGGGCGGCGCGCGGCTGGAACCTGAGCCGGCGGAGGAGGGACCCGCGGGCGGACGGGCGCCGGGCGGGCCGGCCGGGATTCAGGAAGCGCGGATCTCCCGGCCGCCGGCGCCCAGCCGTCCCGGAGGTAAGTGGGGCCCGGGCCCGGGAGGGGCGGCTCAGCCGAGGTCCCCTCGCGCCCCTGGGGACATCTCCGTGGCCCGTCCGGCTCCGGGGGGTCCCGAGGCTCCAAAATGCGGGCCAGGGGCGCGGGAGACGGAAGGCACCAGGTTCCGCAGGCGCCAGCCTCTCAGCTAAGTGCCCTTGGGCCGGACACCGGCTCTTTGGGTCTCGGTTTTATCACCTGTGAAATGGGCACCAACGTGGGGCCTGGGGTAGCAGGTCTGGGGGGAGGGCGGTTCGGTTCCCTGAGACCCCAAGCCAGGGAACCAAAGGCCCGGAGCCTTGCAGCCCACCTTAGGAGACTTGGAAGAGGGATTTCGGGGGACCTAAGGTTTGCCCTTGGCCCCTGAGCATGTCGGAGGGAATTTGGAGTCTGGAGCTTCCAAAGGCTTCTTCTTGGTTACTGAGTCCCGGAGAGACGGCTGTTTCCTCCAAGAGGCATGAAAATCTTTAACCTCTAGTTCTGCCCTGGACTCTCAGGACGTCCCGGGGGCGGGTGGCTCCTGGGGGTGGGTAGCGGGGGTGGGGGTGGGGGAGAGAGAGACTCCCACACTCCCCGCTTGCCTGGAAACACCAACCACAGATGCATTCATCGAGCCACCCACTGCTCCAGCCTGCCCCAGCTGTTCCCTCTGTCTGTCCTCTCTGTTTTGCAGATGGGGAAACTGAGGCTTAGGTCGGGGATCTAGACAATTGGGATTTAAACCCAGGGACTATCCAGCCCCAAAGCCCTTCCCACCACACCAGGTGGCCTGTCCTGGGGCCAGCTCTGCACACAGGGCCTGGTGCCCCCGGGGTGCTTGGGAAGTGGCAGGGCAGAGGTGGGCCCTGTGGCTGTTCTGGCTCAGCTTCTAAAACAAGAGCCTCTGCTGGGGGCAGAGGGGCCGTGAACCCCTGAAATGTTAGGCAGATACCCTGTGGGAGCTTTGTTCTGGGATGCTAAGAACCGCTTGAGGATTTAAGCTTTGCCACTTTGGCTCCGGAGCAAGGGCAGAGGGTAAGTCGGGACTCCCCGGGCTCCTGAGGAGGGTGACGAGGTGGGCTTTTGGGGGAACAAGGGTAGAAAGGTCAGGCCTGGGTTATCTGCGGGGCTAAGAGCGGGCCTGTGTGGGGCCCGGGGTGTGCTCTGCAGTCCCCTGCTGTGTGACCTTGGCCTGGTCCCTTAGCTGTCTGAGCCTTTGTGTTCTCTCCTCTGTAATACTGGGGTGCCTGAGGGCAAGCCCCCAGGGCTGTCGTGAGGACCGATGACCTTCCAGGAACCTGGCACAGCCACTGTTGGCTGCCATCAATGTTTAACCAGTTGTCGTTGCCCCAAACATTTTCTTAACAAAGAGGGTGAAAAAAGTCAATTGGCCATTTCCACATTTCTCTAGTTCATTCTGTTTGAAGAATGATGGGAACCAGAAAGCCTGGACACCCACCTTGATTGGTGAATTGCACGCGGAAGGGGTCCCAGACACAAATGGCAAATGGCAGTCATAGTTCAGGGCGGTTCACTTTGTAAGATCAAGGTGGGGCTGTTTTGAAATGGAGGTAACCAGGGAATGGTTGCCTGAACAAAAAGGGTGTGATGCCCCCAGGAGGGATGTTTCACATGAGCTCCGGTGAGGATGGCTGGGATTCCCCAGGTGAAACCCAGATACCTTATATCTGGGGAAGGGGCTGTGGAGGTTCCTCCTGCCTTATCTGGTGCCAACTGGGCCTCTGCCACTTACTCCCTCCTCCAGCAAATGCTCTCTGCAAGCTCACCTGTGCCAGCTCTGGGCTGGGCACTGGAGCAGTGAGATGCTTCCAATCCCAGCTTCGCTGTAGCCTGAGGCGTGTGAAGGCAAGAAGGATTTTCCCTTGTGGCCCCCCGGGGAGGAGCTCCCACACCTGACTTGTGAGCATCTAGCAAGGTGTGCATGGATGGCCGACGCTTAGTAAATGTATGCTGTGGAATGGATGGGGTCAGGGGAGAATGCCGTAGGGTAGGAGGACTGGCCCAGGAAGGACCCACGAGGGCTTGGTCAAGGTAGTGTTTAAGCCGCACCTTAAAGAATAAATGCAGAAGTAGAGGAAAGAGTATTCAGGCAAAGAGAATGGCACTAGCAGAGATATGACTTTTACCTGTTACCAGGTGGCTACACCTGGGGTTTATAGAGCAGAGAAATAGTTCTGTTTGTCTGGAGTTTGTGACGTGACTGGAAAGGGTGAGGGATCAGACAGGCAGGAGCTAAATCAGACCCAGAGGCCCAGAAGTCCTGCCTGGGAGTGACACGGTTGTTTGTCTGTTCTAGAAAGGTCCCTGTGGCTGCAGAGTGGGAAAGATTGGAGGAGCTCAGACAGAGAGGCTGGCCCCAAGGCTGGGGAAGTCATCCAAGCTCTGAGTGGAGAGCGGCAGCTGGAAGGAGATGTAGGAGGGAAGGAAACACACAAGACTGAGCCTCATGTGCCTGGCACATAGTAGGTGCTCAGTCAGTATCTATGGCATGGTTGTCTGAACAAATACTTTTGAGATGGTCAAAGTCCTTTGAGTTCCTTCCTCTGTTCCTAGGGGGATGGGGTCTACATGAAGTGGGTGTCTCTACTCCATGCAGGCCCTTGACCCTGCTGTCTGCCTCAGTTTCCCCCATTTGACTTTGGGAAAGACACTCCAGTCCGTTCTCCAAATTATAGGGACCCAGGTAACAGCTCCTCTTGTTGTCACAGATAGGGTCTGGGGAGCCAAGATAACATTTATTTCATGCCAGTGGGCCCTCTGGAATGCTCCACATCGCCCATTTGGAGCAGAATTCACCTGTTAAAGATTAATTCCGATCTCTTGAGATAAGTGGCTGCTGTTATGAACTCTGGGTACAAGGTTCTGTCTGGCTTTAGCCAACCCTGGGTTGCATTAACAACTATTATGATGGTGGCAAGCCTTTATTGAGCACTTACTGTGTGCCAAGCACTGAGTCAAGCACCCTCAGCACATTTGGATACAAAACTATTTTTGTCTCTATTTTTCAGAGGGCAGAATGAGGTCTAGAGGGTGAAATCTCTTGCCTGGGTTCTCTCAGCTGAGAAGGGGCAGAGCTGGGACCTGAATCCCATTTGTGTGATTGCAAATCCATCCCTTCACCTGTAAGGTGGCCCGTCCCCATTTGTCTGGACCCTCATTGGGGTGCCTGGGGTCATGGGGGAGCTACTCTGCAGTCCAGAGATAGGAACCTGAGTTGGCCGGGTGCAGTGGCCCACACCTGTAATCCCAACACTCTGGGAGGCCAAGGCAGGTGGATCGGTCGAGCCCGTGAGTTTGAGACCAGCCTGGGCAACATGGTGAAACTCTGTCTCTAGAAAAAATACAAAAATTAGCCGAACGTGGTAGCACGCACCTGTAGTGCCAGCTACTTGAGAGGCTGAGGTGGGAGGATCGCTTAAGCCCAGGAGTGAGAGGTTGCAGTGAACTGCGATTGTGCCACTGCAGTCCAGAGCAAGAGATCCTGTCTCAAAACAAACAAAGAGCCTGAACTGCAGACAGGCCTGGGCTTAAACTGCATCCGCATGTTTAAGACAGGCCTGCTATTCCCCGCTGGAGGAGCTCAGGGAAGCCACCTGGCCTCTCTGGGCTTCCATTTCCTCCTGTGTCAAAGGGACTCTCATCCCACTTTGCAGGGATGACCCAAGGCACGTGGATGGGGCTCTGAAGCACAGCTCTTCTGCCTCAGCCCGTGTCAGCTCCCCTTGTCCCCAGGCCCATTCCAGGGCATGTTTTCTTCCAGCTTATCCCCCAGACATCCTCAGAGAGCCCCTCCATGCCAGGTGGGTGGGTGGAAGGTATTGGGGGCAAAGCTAGACTTGCATTTGGGCAAATAATGATATGTTTTCAGCAATGAAATATTTATGAGCATTGACTGAGTGCCAGGAGCTGTCAACTTTTTTTACTTTCCTGATTTAATGCTTAAAAACTAGGGCTGGAGCCCAGCTGCCCAGGTTCAAATCCCAGCTTCCAATAAGTTCCATTATTCCTTTGGCCTCAGTTTCCTCATCTGGACAATGGGGATAAGGTAATGCCTGCCTTGCTGGGAGGTTGTGGACAGTCTTCAGCACAACCTTGAGTGTTTAGTTTAAAACCAGCATCTATTGCCTGTTGTTCACTTTTTTTTTTATTTATTATTTTTAGAGACAGGGTCTCAGTCTGTTGCTCAGGCTGGAATGCAGTGGTGTGATCATAGCTCACAGCAGCCTCGAACTCCTGGGCTCAAGAGATCCTCCTACTTCAGCCTCCCAAGTAGTTGGGACACACCCAGCTTATTAAAAAAAAAGGTTTTTTTCAGACAGGGGTCTCACTATGTTGCCCAGGTTGGTCTGGAATTCCAGAGCTCAAGTAACCCTCCTGCCTTGGCCTCCCAAAGTGCTCAGATTACAGGTGTGAGGGCTGATGTTCATTTTGATGGTGTCACAGCTTCCCCACTGCCGGGGGTGGGCAGGGGCAGGAATGCTGAGCCCCATTTTACAGCTGAGGAAATCGAGACTCAGAGAGGAAGCAATTTACCCAGGGATGCCCAGCTGGCTCATGGCAGAGCTGGAGCTGGAAGCCAGATCTGAGTGACACTGGTGTCCTTGGGTCCACGAAAAGCCCAGTGGCCAGCTTAGCTTCTTGCGTGGAAAGCTACGCTAGGCTCACCCACCTTGGCGTCTGAGCCACCTTAGCTTACCTCCCAGCTCCGCCAGTTGCTGCTCTGTGACCTCAGAAAGTGGCTTAAGCTCTCTGTTCCTGGGCTTTGCTGAGGTCAGAGCTCTGCCAACTTGAGGAGGGATTTGGGTTATTCTGGCTGCTGCTCTTGTTCTGGCCTGGGCTCCTTCAACCTCGGGTGCCCTTGCAGCCCATGAGCTGGCACCCCAGTGGCCGGACAGGAATGAGGAAGGGACAGGGCCTCACTTTCAATGTGACTCTGACTTCCTTCCCACCCCTAGCCCCTTCCTGAGCATTGGTTTCCCCTTTCTGCCCCGAGCCCTGGCCACTGCCGGCTGTGTGACCCCAAGGAGGTTACATCACTTCTCTGAGCATGTTTCCTCATCGGTGAGGGAGGATCACACGAGACCACACCAGGCGCACAGGAAGCCCTTGCCGGTCTCCAGATGAGGTCAGGGCATTGGAAAGGCCACAGAAGGAGGCGGGGGCTCAGGGGACAGACAGGCGGGCCATTGACCAAACGGGAATATCCTTCTATTTCTTTGGTTAGTGAGTAACAGCAGCCCCTCTTGTCCACCCACCCTGCCCCTTGCACAAAGAGCTCCTCAGTCTCACCAGGCGCCCGTTTTCCCCTGAGGGTGGAGTGGCCTGGGTTCCACCCGGTTGACCGAGTGGGCTGGCCACCTTCTGGGACCATTCCCTGTGTGTGTGTTTGTGTACGTGTGTATGTGTGTGTATATTGATGTGCGTGTGTATGTGCGTATGTGTGTCTGTGTGTGTATGTGTATGTGTGTATATGTATGTCTATATGTGTATGTGTATATGTGTATATATGTGTATGTGTGTATATGTATGACTATATGTTTATGTGTATGTTTGTGTATATATGTGTGTATGTGTGTATATGTATGTCTGTGTGTATGTGTGTGCATATGTGTATGTATATACATGTGTATGTGTGTATGTGAATGTCTATGTGTGCATGTGTGTATGTGTGTGTATGTTTGCGTGTATATGTATGTATGTGTGTATATTGTGTGTATGTATGTGTATATGTGTGTAATGTGTATATGTATTTGTGTGTAGTGTGTGTGTGTGTGTGTGTTTATGGAGGGTGGGTTCCATGGGCTTTGGGCTGAGACCCCAGCAGGTGAGGGTGGGACAGGGGGCATGGGGTTGACTGACCCATGGGTCTGGCTCACTCCTGTCCCTGCTTGGCACACAGGAGGGGCTCAGGAATACCTGTAGATAGAGTGAAGGGATGAATGAAGGAAGGAATGAGTGACTGGACAAGCCAGCCAGGCAGGGCATCAGAAGGAAGCACCTGCTCAGATACAGGCTCTGGCTCTGAGACCAAGTGTGCTTGAGTGAGTGTCCTGGTCTTGTTGAGCCTCAATTTCTTCATCTATAAAATGGGCTCACGATAGTTGTCCTCATGAGAGGTGTTGGTCTTATAGGCCAGAAAACCCCACACATAGCAGGTGCTCCGTAAGCTGTCTGTTAAAAAATGGATGGGAGGAAGCTAATTAGTTAGCTGGGCAGAGGTTCGCTTTGGAGACCTGTCTGCCCTGGAGAGAATGACTAAGCCCGTCTTTCACTCCTTTCCTCTGTTCATTCATTCATTCATTCATTCATCCAGCAAATACATCTTGAGCAGCTGCTATGTGCCAGGACCTGTTCCAGGCATCTGGGCCTCAGCAGTTACCAGAAGGGAGTCCCTCCGCCCTAGAGCTTTTGTCCGAGTGACATCATTCCACACGCAGTGCTTTGAGGCCACTTTGTGAGACTCTGATACCCACAATGACAAGTAATCCAGCAGTGGGAACTGTGATGAGCTCCCTTTTACAGGTGAGGAAACTGAAGCTCGGAGAGGTCAAGTGATCCGTCTGGGGCCACGCAGTTACTAAATGGCAAAGTCAAGATTCAGACTCCAAGCCTGTCACCACTGTGCCATCTTGTCCTGCTGAGTTCCAAGGGATATGGCGTTGAGAAGGGGGGTCCTAGGGAGAGGGCATGGTAGCCCCCAAAGGGATGAATGAACTCAAATGGATTTAAAAGCAGATGGTTGGAAGTCTAGCCACATTCACTTCCTGTAGCGTTGTGGACTCAGTTAAATCTCATTCTTTCTGATCTTCAGTTTGTTCATCTGTGAAATGATAACAATAACACCGACCTCAAATGAGAGAGAAATGTGAAAGTGCTTAGCATATGATAGGTATTGGATAAATGTCAGCCCTTACCTCCTTTCCCCCGGGACTGACTTTATACATCTGGGAATGGAGACAATAATATTTAATGTCTATAGTTATTATTTGGATTAAAATAGATAGAAGGGGCCAGCCATGGTGGTTCACGCCTGTAATCACAACACTTTGGGAGGCCAAGGTGTGTGGATCACGTGAGCCCGGGCATTGGAGACTAACCTGGGCAGTAGAGTGAGACTCCATCTCTACAAAAAATAAATTTTAAAAGTAGGAATGGTGGTACATGCCTGTGGTCCCAGCTTCTGGGGAGGCTGAGGTGGGAGGATTGCTTGAGCCTGGGAGGTCGAGGCTGCAGTGAGCTATGATTGTGCCACTGCACTCCAGCCTGGGTGACAAAGCCATACCCTGTCTCAAAACAAAAAACAACCAAATGGGAGGTGCTGTGTGAAGTGTGCCATGGAGGGTAGGCATTACTGATGGTACATTGCAGGCATTAGCCTCAGTCATAATTCCAAGCAGTTAACCCCTGAGGCAGCAGCTTACTGTTGGCACAGACTGGTGTTGAGGTGGGCTGGGACAGAGGAAGGATCTCAAACTGGTTTTCTGCTGCCTTGGGCTCCCTTCCCCGACTCCTGCCCCATCCACTCATAACGGGCACCTGCCCTCTTCCCCCTCCTCTGATTTGGCAAACTCGGGACTTTTGCTCCTAGAAGTGGGGTAGAGGAACGTATGCATGGACGAGTGTCCTGTCCCTTCTGGTCCTTAGTCTCCCAGCTGGGAGGCAGCCCTTGTCCTGACAGCCTTCTAAAGGTGACAGAAGATGGAAATGAGGTGGCGAGGAAACCCTTTCCAAAGGTGAGGTCTCTGCAGTCACGAGCCCTGGTTTTGGAGCCGGGAAGTCTGGGTTCCAGTGCCTGCCCAGTTCTGACCTCCCTGGACCTCAATGTCATCATCCCCCACCTCCCACTGCAAACTGAGGGAATGTTAGCAAGAATGGCAAAGCAGCCATTGAACATCCTTATCTGTAAAATGGGGGTAATAATTGCTACGACCTGGGTGGGGTTAAGCTGTATTTGCTCCATAGTTATTTGGTATACAGTACATTCATGCTTTAAACTAAAAAATAAGTTCAAGTTCATTGAACACTTGGTGTTTGTTGGGCACTGCACTGAAGGCTTGAATTATCACATTTAATCCTCACAATAGCTCTTTGGGGTAGGAGCTGTTATTTTATTTTTTAATATTTTAAAAAATAAATAAATTTATTTATTTTTTGTAGAGATGGGATCTCACCATTTTGCCCAGGCTGGTCTCGAACTCCTGGGCTCAAGCGATCCTCCCACCTTGGCCTCCCAAAGTGTTGGGATTACAGGTGTGAGCCACTGCACCCAGCCTTATTTTTTAGTTTAAAGCATGAATGTGCTATACACCAAATAACTATGGAGCAAATACGGCTTAACCCCACCCAGGTCGTAGTAATTATTACTCCCATTTTACAGATAAGGAAACCAAGGCCCAGAGATGAGATGTGACTTGTGCAAGACCATACAGCCAGTGAGTGGCAGATGAGATGTAAAGCATTGATCAGGCAACGTTCTCAGACTATAGAATCCTCTCTGGAGTTCTCCGTGGCTGTGACCATCCTCTAGGAGAGGGGCTAGGCCAGAGAGAAGGCGGGCCTAAGGTTTTGTTTTGTTGAGATGGAGTCTCGCTCTTGTCGCCCCCGCTGGAGTGCAGTGGTGCTATCTCTGCTCACTGCAATCTCTGCCTCCTGGGTTCAAGAGATTCTCATGCCTCAGCCTCCCGAGTAGCTGGGATTACAGGTGCATGCTACCACACCCGGCTAATTTTTGTATTTTTGGTAGAGATGGGGTTTCACCATGTTGGCCAGTCTGGTCTTGAACTTCTGACCTCAAGTGATCCGCCCACCTCGGTCTCCCAAAGTGCTGGGATTACAGGCGTGAGCCACTGCGCCCGGCCGGACTAAGAATTTGATGCCTCCCTCCTCCTGGGCTGGAGCTGAGTAGCATGTTCTCAAGCAGGGCTGGCTGAGAGGGTGGAATCCTGGGGCTATGCTCTGATGGGAAGGAAGCGAGATAAGGGAAGAAGGACCTGGAGCCTCCTGGGGTAGTGACTTTGTATCCTTGAGCTCCTACTACGTGCCAGACCTTGTTTGAAACCCTTTATGTGGCTGGGCACGGTGGCCGACGCCTGTAATCCCAGCATTTTGAGAGGCCGAGGCGGTCGGATCACCTGAGGTCAGGAGTTCGAGACCAGCCTGGCCAACATGGTGAAACCCCGTCTCTACTAAAAATACAAAAATTAGCTGGCGCAGCGGTGGGCACCTGTAATCCCAGCTACTTGGGAGGCTGAGGCAGGAGGATTGCTTGAACCTGGGAGACGGAGGTTGCAGTGAGCCAAGATTGTGCCACTTATACTCTAGCCTGGGTGACAGAGCAAGATCCTGTCTCTCTCTGTCACACACACATGCGCACACACACACACACACACAAGAAAGAAAAAAAAGAAACCCTTTATGTGTGCTTAATCTCCATGACATTCCCATGTTGCAACAAGGAAACTGAGGTTCTGGGAGGGAAGTGACCTGCCTGAGGTCACTAAGCCTGGAAGGGTCATTTAGATGTAATTCACATACTCATAACTCAGTCTTTTAAAACGTACAATTCAGTTGGTTTCTTAGTGTATTCAGAGTTGTACAGACATCAGCACTATCTCATTCCAGAACATTTTCATCACCCCAAAAAAGGACTCTGTACCCATTAGCAGTCACCACTCCCCACTCCCAGCCCCTGGCAACAACTAATCTGCTTTCTGTCTCTGTGGATTTGCCTGTTCTGGGCATTTCATATAAATGGAATCCTGCAATATGTGGCCTTTTGTGTCTACAAGGTGCATGCTCTTAACCATTAAGCCACACCGCTTCTTGGTGGCTCCTACCCAGGGGCCGGGACCCTTGGAAATGACTTGGTCCCTGTGAAAGCTCAGAGGGGCATCTGTGTGTGCTGTCAGCCGGCCTCCCTCCAGCCAAGGGCTTGCAGAATGACCAAATGACTGCCGTGGCCACGCTGGCCTTGCCCTCCGTGGGGCGCGGTGAGTCACCCCAGACCTGCCCTGCCTGGGTGGTGTGAGTGCATGGGGTGGGGGCCCAGCAGGACACTGGGGCTCTGTCTGTCCTGGACAGGCGGCCACTGTGCAGCAAACAGGAAGCGGGCTGGGCCGAGACCTGCTAGGTAAATACAGGCTGGCCAGGGAAGGTGCTGGGCATGGCATGATGCCCCCCTACTGCTGCCGCCTGCCAAGTGCCTGGGAGCCGTGGGGTAGCCTGGCAGGCAGTAGGTTTCGCCTGGCCAAGGAGTTGAGCTCCCAGCCGGCTGTTCCCAGCAGCCGCCACTTCGAGGTGGCTGCCAGAGTCTACCTCCAAGGCTCTGGATCTGGCCGCTCTGCCTTCTCTAGGAGTCATTGCCTTCCTTGGTCCTCAGTCCTTTTGTTCATCTGTTCCCCTAATGATACTAATAAATAGTACACTGATACTGATGATTCCAACAGCAGCCATGCTTGACTGAATGCATGCTCTGTACCAGGCACTGGGCTCAGTGTTTTGCATGCTTTATCTCATGTAACCCTCACGACAGTTCCCTTGGGGTAGGTGCTAGGATCATTGCCATTTTTCAGGTGAGGAAACCGAGGCATGGGCAGGCCAGGTGACTTGCCCAGAGCTGGTGAACTGGTGGTTCGTCAGGGACTGCGACCCATCCCCCACTCCATTCTTTCTCCAGCTTCTCCCTCCCAGAGTTCCCTTGTCTTTGTAAAGTGTCCATCAAAGGCGCAGGTCCCGGGGATGCATGGGTTCTAATCCTGCCTCCCCCTTTCTGGAGCAAGGCAATGCCAGACAAATGACTTCGCCTCTCTGAGCCTCAGTTTTCTTACCTGGAAGGTGGGGAGGGGGTGGACAGGTCTGGGATTTTCTCTCTAGTAACAGCAAAGCTCAGAGTCCTTGTCTTCCTAGTACCTTCCTATCCACATGTCCCCGGCAAGACTGATTTGGAATGGCAGGCACTCACAGTTGTGTTTATTTGAGGGTACCACAGGAAGTGGGGGCCCCCAAATTGGCTAAGGAGCCCCAGGGTGGAGGGAGGTAGAAGCACACTGGGTCTGTCTGGGAGCCTGAGCACCTTCTCTGTGGGCTCCTTCCTACCCATGGATTCCAACCCCCACCCACCTCCCCACTGCCCACCCACTCACCCATCTCTTCTGCTTTCCTTCTCCCTGTGCCCCAGGCCACACCATTCCTCTGTGCACCCTGCACTTTCCCCTCTACACCTTTGTCCTTGACACCTCCTCTGCCCTTTATCTTCCTCCTCCTCCTCCTCACAGCCTTTCCCCCTCCCCATCAGGATTCTGGCTGCCCTTGCTCTGCAACCCTGCCTGGAACTTCAGGTCCCTGATCTTACAGCCTAAAAAAACCAAATATTCATTGACACCTCATTTTGCTTCAGCACCATGCTGAATGCTGGGGACACAGGGGACACGAAATAGTCCCTACCACATGGAACTAAAACTCTGGAGGTGAAGAGAGAAGATGAATCAAAGAATAATATATAGGCCGGGTGCGGTGGCTCACACCTATAATCCCAACATTTTGGGAGGCTGAGGCAGGTGGATCATCTGAGGTCAGGGGTTCAAGACCAGACTGACCAACATGGCAAAACCCTGCCTCTACTAAAAATACGAAAAATTAGCCGGGTGTTGTGGTGCATGCCTGTAATCCCAGCTACTCGAGGAGGCTGAGGCACGAGAATTGCTTGAACCCAGGAGGCGGAGGTTGCAGTGAGCTGAGATCATGCCACTGCACTCCAACCTGGGGGACAGAGCGAGACTCTCTTGAAAAAAAAAATACATATATAGAAAAGTTTAATCGTGGGAAGTGCTGTAAAGGAAGGCACATGTTACTCTAAGAGTAAAGAGCAGGGGAAACAGGAGGGCTTTTCAGAGGAAGTGCCCTTTAACATGAGGCCTGAGGAGTAAGTGGGAGCCAGCCAGCGAAGGGAAGGGCATTCCAGGCGGAGGGAACAGCCTAGGCAAAGGCCTGGAGGCAGAGAGAGCCATCAGCCTTCCCTCCTGGACTGCGAGTTCTCTGAGGTTCCACACTTTTATGTCTCCCCTGTGCCCTGCAAACAGGTGCCACTGCATTGATGCCTGGTGGAATGAATTGATTCCAGAAGGGAGGGAACCGGGAGAAACCAGCTCCCTGGATTCCTCCCCGCTGGGGCGGAGCAGGTTTGCATGCCCAAACTTGCCCCCAGATTTAAGCAGCTTTCCTTGGTCACGTAATCAGGAGGATGGGATTTGACAAATGTTTGCCAGGGTTTCCATGAGATCAGGCAAAGCCGCGGGTAACCCCGAGGATGGGCCCCTTTTTCCACCCTCCGCAAGTTGGGGCATGGGGACGGAGCCAGAGACCTCCACCGCCTTTGAATCCGGGATTCTCAGAGAGAAGCCATCTGTTGTGCAATCTGCTGTTTATTGAGGCTTTCTTTATGCCAGGCACTTGACTCAAGGTATATACCTCTCACAACGACCCTATTACGATCCCTTAATAGGGCAGCTGAGGGCCGGGCGTAGTGGCTCACGCCTATAATCCCAGCACTTTGGGAGGCTGAGGCAGGCGGATCACGAGGTCAGGAGATCGAGACCATCCTGGCTAACACCATGAAACCCCGTCTGTACTAAAAAAATACAAAAAATTAGCCGGGCGTGGTGGCGGGTGCCTGTAGTCCCAGCTACTCAGGAGGCTGAGCAGAAGAATGGCGTGAACCCGGGAGGCGGAGCTTGCAGTGAGTGGAGATGCGCCACTGCACTCCAGCCTAGGCGACAGAGGGAGACTCCGTCTCAAAAAAAAAAAAAAAAAAAAAAAAATAGGGCAGCTGAAGAAAGTGAAGATCAGAGAGGTTGGGTAACTTGCTCATACTCACCCAGCAAGTGAGCTGTGGGTCTGGGATCTGACCCTCTGGTCTGCCTGACGTCAAAATGTGCCCCACCGGCTCAGGGGGCCATGAGAGCAGAAAGCCAGGTTTCTGGAAAGCCTGGGGTCTCTGTCTAGGGCAGAAAGGAAGGTCTGGGGACCCTGGCTCAGCCCTGTATCTCATCACCCTACTCAGGACTCCTGCACCCCTTAACTTGCCCACTCCTGAGCCCTTCTGGTCTATGCAGTTCTTAACACCATCCGACATGACTCTGCTGCTTGATTTGTCTAGTTTATTGTTTCCCCACCAGAAGGTCTGCCCCCAAAGGGATTGATATCTGTTCTGTTCACATCTGTGTCCCTAGTCTAGCACAGTGCCTGGCACATAGTAGGTGCTCAATAAATGTGTGGAATAAATAGGTAGCTGGCTTCTACTGCTGCCCCTTGGGCCCTTTCCAGAGGAAGATGCAGATTCTTTGTCCATCCTACACAACTGCCATCTCTGTGTGGACCACCATTCAGTATATATATTCTAAAGAAGAGTTTGAATATAAACCTGCTTTTGAATATATAGGATTTAAAACCAACATATTCAAAAACCGCTACTTTGGCTGGGCGCAGTGGCTCATGCCTGTAATTCCAGCACTTTGGGAGGCCGAGGCGGGTAGATCATTTGAGGTCAGGAGTTCAAGACCAGCCTGGCCAACATGTGAAACCCCGTCTGTACTAAAAATACAAAAATTAGCTGAGTGGTAGTGGCATGTTTCTGTAATCCCAGCTACTTGGGAGGCTGAGGCAGGAGAATTGCTTGAGCCTGGGAGGAGGAGGTTGCAGTGAGCTGAGATTGTGCCACTGCACTGCAGTCTGGGTGAGAGAGTGAGACCCTGTCTCAACAAACAAACACCCGCTGCTCTGAATGAACGCTGTTGTGAAGATGTCAGTGTGTGAGGATGTTCACAGTCGTGCAGGAACGTTCTTGGGTGCCTCCCTGATGCACACCTGGTGCAGCTGGGAGCTTCCCCACTGTGGAGGGGCTCCTGGTAGGAGGCATTGTGAGCCCGTGCGGGAACGAAGGGCCCACCATGCCTGCTCACAGTGGGCACACACACATGCACACGCCCATGGAGGAAGGTGGGAAGAAATGTACATGACAGTCACACGCAGAGGAGACACATGTGGACTCACACCCAGGCTCTCAGCCTCTCTCCCTGCCTGCATCCCCGACTTCCCTCCCTCCTAAAACTGGCATGAGTTTGGAATGTGTAATAACAGCCTTTAGGGCAAATTAGAACAGGGAGTAAACTCTTTCTCTGACCACAGAGAACAGGACAGTGTTTGGGGAGGGAATTGCCACAGAGCAGCAGAGCCGGGTGTGTGTGTGTGTGTGTACACATGCCTATGTGTATGTGTACACGTGAGCTAGTGTGTACACACTCCTGAGTGCTGTGATGTGGAAGGAGCCCAGGGCTAGGAGTCTAGAGGTTTTCTTCAAAGCCATTTGCTCCCTAGCTGGCCTCTCAGAGCCTCCGTTTCCTTAGCTGTAAAGTGGGAGCAATAGCCTAGCTTTGTTCAGGTTCTTCGGGGGATTGAATGAGAGAGGGGCTTGGTGGATTTTAGCATGGGCTATAAAATGTCAGGCTGTAGTGCTGGCACGTGTGTGCATGTGTGTTTTGGGGAAGGGGAGTAAGGAGGACAGGTAAATCAGGACCATATCATAGTGGTGATGATGATAATTAAATGTGACAAGATCCAACATTTATCAAATATTTCTTAGGTGCCCAAGAAACACTTGACCTGCCTTATCTCCCAGAAGCCCTACAAGGGAGGTGCTATTATTGCAATCCCCATTTTACAAGTAGAGAAACCGAGGCTCAGAGAGATGAGAATGGGCGGCAGTAATCATCCCTTCCTCCTGGGGGTGGTTGTGAAGCTTGAAGGAGACACTGTAAGCGCTCGGGTGGTACCCTGGTACTCCATCACTAACCTGCTGTGTGACCTCAGGTAAGTCGCTTAGCCTCTCTGAGCCTCAGTTTCCTCATCTGTAAAATGGGAATGATTGCAATACCTACCTCCAGGGCAGATTTTCTCAACCTCAGCGCTGTTGATGTTGTTGACTGGGTTATTCTGTGTGGTGCGGGGCTGTCTTTTGTTTTGGAGGATGTTTACTACCATCCGGCATGGCGGATCCCAGCAAAGGCCCCTGTGCAGGCCTGGTGAGGTGGCCGAGCTTCCTGGTGGGGAGGCCTTCCCCCTCTCCTCCCTGGTCAATCTATTTGAGGGTGAGGATGGCTCCCCTTCACCCTCACCTGGCACCCAGGACATCCCCAGTCCATGGAGGGATTCAATCTGGGCTCTGCAGCCAGCTGCCCGCATTTCAGTCCTGGCTCTGTCACTAACCTGCTGTGTGACCTCAGGCAAGTCACTTAGCCTCTCTGAGCCTCAGTTTCCTCATCTGTAGAATGGGAACGATCGCAGTACCTACTTCCAGGGCAGATGTTCTCAGTCTCGACGCTATTGACATTGTGGGCTGGGTCATTTTTTTGTGGTGTGGGGCTGTCTTTTGCTTTGGAGGATGTTTAGTGCCATCCCTGGCCTTGATCTACCAGATGCCAGTAGTGCTCCCTCTCCTGTACAGTTGTGACAACAAAACATGTCATCAGATATTGCCAAATGTCCTTAGAGGAGGAGCAGAACTGTCCTTGGTTGAGAACCACTGGTCTGGAGTCATGATGAGGGCTGGATGAGGCCCTGTGCTGGGCACAGCCTGAGCTACGTCATCAGGCGAGGATGGTGATTTAGTTCATAATTATTATTTCATCCTAATTAGAATGCTAATCATGATCGCGGCGTGACTTGCCGAAGGCCACACAGCAGCCATACAGGTTGACAGTTGCTGGGAGAGGATTTGAACCTGGGATTGGCTGGCACCAGAGCCCCCATTTTGGAGTCCCCAGGAACCTGGGGTGCTGTCCAGGCTTAGGGGAGGGCTATCCTCCTGAGGGGAGGAGGGTGCAGGCATGGTGGGGGATGGAAGGACCTTCTTGGCTGCCTTCTCTGGCCTTGGGAGCTCCCTGGGATGGGGTTCCATTAGCCCCTGAGGTGCCATGGTGAGGGGTGCAGTGGATAGAAGGGTACTGGAAACACAGAGGGTGCGCCTGATGCCTCGTCTCCCCCTGACCTCAGGGCCCCCAGTGAGGTGGACAGGGCCATGCCCAGGAGAGTCTAATCCACCTCCCGCCAATGCCTGTGCCCCTGCAGATGCCCCTCCTGCCTCAGCAACCCCCTGGCCCCCATTCCTGCAGAGCAAAGCCCAAATGCATGTGGCAGCCATGAGGGACTAGGGATCCAGATCCCCCTCTCCTGTCTGGCCAGTCGAAAGGACTTCGTGTCTCCAGAGGTCCTACTAGGTGCTGGAACTGAGTAGGTGCCTCACATGCTGGAGGACCCTAGGAGGAGGCGTGGTCACTCCAGTCTTACAGGTGGGAAAACCACGGGGCAGACAGAGGAAGTGATTTGCCCATGGTCAAACGGCTAATGACCAGGGCCAAGAGAGGAACTGGGTCTCATTTCAGAACCTGGCCTCCTAACTTCTCTTTCTTCGTTTGGTTATAATAACTGAAAGTCCCACTCTATTTACAGATGAGGAAACTGAGGCTCAGAGAGGCTAAGCAACTTACCTGAGGTATTTATTTTTAGATAGAGTCTTGCTCTGTTGCCCTGGCTGGAGTGCAGTGGCGCCATCTTGGCTCACTGCAACCTCTGCCTCCTGGGTTCAAGTGATTCTCCTGCCTCAGCCTCCTAAGTAGCTGGGACTACAGTCACGTGCCACCACGCCTGGCTAATTTTTGTATTTTTTATAGAGACGGGGTTTTGCCATGTTAGCCAGGCTGGTCTCGAACTCCTGACTTCAAGTGATCCACCCGCCTCGGCCTCCCAAAGTGCTGGGGTTACAGGCGTGAGCTGCTGCACTGAGCCAAAACCCCACTTTAATCCCAGAAGTGGCACTGGATATATCTGACCTCACTTCCCACTGCCTGCAACCCTATGAAGAAGTGACTACAATTGTACCCATTTTGCAGAGGAGGAAACTGAGGCTTGGGGAGCTCAAGTAACTTACCTAAGATCACACTACATGTAAATAGCAGAGCTGGGATTAGAACCCAGGCCTGAATGACTCCAAAGGCCAGGCTGTCTCTCCCTTTTGGTGTCCAAAGGGAAGCCCACCCCCAGTGGGAGCTCTGACCCTCTGTGTCCTGCTGCGCCCACTAAGGGAGGCCTCTTGCTGTGTCCCCACCTCTCTGGTCCAAGTCTTCCCTCCTGGAAGCCACAGAACAAACAAGGTGGGAACTAGTTTATTTGTTTTTCTACGTGCGTATTGGGTGGGAAGGGTGAGATGTACAAGAGAGGGCTTTTCAGACATGCCCCTGCCTCCCGGGTGGGGTGGTAAGAGTTCCAGGAAACTCACCCTTGGTGCCCAGCCCTGCCTGGCTGGCACCATGCTACAGAGAGCAGGGCACTGACAGCCAACCAGTGGGGCCTTGCCCCTCCCTTGCCCTGGCTCCTGGCTAAGCACTGGACCCGGGAGCCAGAGAGACATGGTTCAAGTCCAGCTCTTCTTCCTGCAAGCTGTTTGCTGCCTTTGAAAGCTGCTTCCTCATCTGAGAAATGGGAACAAATGACATCTTTGTCATAAAGTTTTTCATTTGTGTGAGGACTCAGGGATGGACAAGACAGATACATTTCCTGCCTCCTGGCACCCACAGCCTGGGAACGAACCATCCCGTGAACAGCTGGGATAAAGCTTCTGAGGAGAGGAGCATGGATCCTGGGAGCGAGTGTGTGCAGGCCAGGGAGGGCTTTCCAGAGGAGCCCAGTTGAGCTGGAACACCAGTGGGGAGGAGTTGACCAGCAAAGGTGCAGGGAGGGATCAGCACTTTGCACTGGGGAGCAGAGTTTGTGCACTGGGGAAGTCAACTCAAGTATTGGAGCCTCAGTTTCCTGTTCTGTAAAATGGGTTCATCATGACAGTGTTTGATGAGGAAAAGGACTGCCGGCCTACACAGCAAGTCCACATGGATTTTCTGAGCCCCTCCTGTGCCTGAAGCCCACGGTTAATGGTTCTGCCTTAGCAGGTGCTTACCACGT
Organism: Homo sapiens; assembly: GCF_000001405.40. Classification (NCBI taxonomy): domain Eukaryota; kingdom Metazoa; phylum Chordata; class Mammalia; order Primates; family Hominidae; genus Homo; species Homo sapiens. Next base: position 109,815,325 of record NC_000012.12, on the reverse strand, counting down.
GCCAGGCACTGCACTGCACTGGCCACTGGACTGCATGTTCTGTCCATGAGGCTTGGATATCCCCATCTTACAGATCAGGAAGCTGAGGCTATGAAATGTCGACTTGCTCAATGTCATGGAATGACTAAGTGTGGAGCCTGGATTTGAACTTGGCTCTCTGGGGCTCCAAAGCTGGCTTTCTTGGTCAGCAGTAGGGTCTGGGATCCAAGTATGGGGTCCCAGCTTGACCCTGAAGTCCACCCTCTTTCAGCTAATGCCCAGGGTAGTTGGACCTGGGGCCAATTTGTGTTTCCAGGTTCGTGAAAGAGGCTCCTGTTGCAGTTCCCGCCTGAGGCTGGCGGCCAACCACATCTGGGAGTGGCCTCCCTGTGCCCCTGTCATTACAACGGTGGCTTTGAAGCAGCTGGCAGCACTGCTGCTTGTCCACGTGGGAGGGGGCTTCCTGGAGCCCCCGCCCCTGGCCGGGTTCTGCCTGACTCCCCTTTCATTCCCTTGCAGGCTGAGCAGTGCAGACGGGCCTGGGGCAGGCATGGCGGATTCCAGCGAAGGCCCCCGCGCGGGGCCCGGGGAGGTGGCTGAGCTCCCCGGGGATGAGAGTGGCACCCCAGGTGGGGAGGCTTTTCCTCTCTCCTCCCTGGCCAATCTGTTTGAGGGGGAGGATGGCTCCCTTTCGCCCTCACCGGCTGATGCCAGTCGCCCTGCTGGCCCAGGCGATGGGCGACCAAATCTGCGCATGAAGTTCCAGGGCGCCTTCCGCAAGGGGGTGCCCAACCCCATCGATCTGCTGGAGTCCACCCTATATGAGTCCTCGGTGGTGCCTGGGCCCAAGAAAGCACCCATGGACTCACTGTTTGACTACGGCACCTATCGTCACCACTCCAGTGACAACAAGAGGTGGAGGAAGAAGATCATAGAGTGAGTATTGTTAGCTTCCTGGCCTGTGGTCTCCTCCTCTGTATCCATTCACCCATTCATCATCCACCCCTCTATCTATTATCCACCCATCCGTCGATTCATCCATCCATCCATCTGTCCATCCAACCATCCATACATCTATCCATCCATCTATTCATCTCCCTATCCATATATCATCCGTCCATCCATCCATCCAACCACCCATCTATTCGTCCATCCATCCAACCATCCACACATCTATCCATCAATCCATTCATCTCTCCATCTCTATATCCTCCATCCATCCATCCAACCATCCATACATCTATCCATCGATCCATTCATCTCTCCATCCATATATCATCCATCCATATATCATCCATCCATACATCCATCCATCATCCAGCCATCTATCATCTATCCATCTATCCAACCATCCATCATCCATCATCCATCCATTCATCTATTCATTTATACATCATCCTTCCATCTGTCCATCTATTCATCTATCCATCATTATTCCATCTGTCCATCTATCTACTATCCATCCATCTATCCATCTACCCATCATCCATCCATCCATTCATCCATCATCCTTCCATCTGTCCATCTACTCGTCTATTCATCATTCCATATGTCCATCTATCCATTAATCTATCCATCCATCCATATATCATCTATCTATCCACCCATCATCCATCCATCCATCTACCCATCTATCCATCATCCATCCATCTATTCATCATCCATCTATCTATTAATCCATCATCCATTACTCTACCCATTTACCCCTCTGTCCACCCTTCCATAGGACATTTGTCTGTTCATCCATTCATCCATCCACCCACTCATTTATACAATGCATCCATCCACCCACTCATTTATACAAATGCAAATGCATTTATACAAATGCAAACTCAGCCATTTACCCATTTACCCATTCACCCTTCCACCCACTCATTTATACAACTATTTACTCATCTAACTCTCCATTCATTCATCTGCTTTTTTTTTCTTTTTGAGATGGAGTCTTGCTCTGTTGCCCAGGCTGGAGTGCAATGGCATGATCTCGGCTCACTGAAACCTCCACCTCCTGGGTTCAAGCAATTCTCCAGTCTCAGCCTCCCGAGTAGCGGGATTACAGGCACCCGCCACCACACCCAGCTAATTTTTTTTGTATTTTTAGTAGAGACAGGTTTTCACCATCTTGGCCAGGCTGGTCTTGAACTCCTGACCTCGTGATCCACCTGCCTTGGCCTCCCAAAGTGCTGGGATTATAGGTGTGAGCCACCGCATCCCGCCTCATCTTTTTTTATTCACCTACATATCCACGTACTCATCTGTCCCCCATTAATCTACTTGTCTGTCCATCTCTTCACCTACACATCCAGCCTTCCATTTGTTTATCTTCTTATTTATACATCTGTTCATCCATCCATCCATCCATCCATTTATCCATCTATCATCTACTCATTCATTTACCCATCTTTACACTTTTTTGTCCACCTATCCAATCTATAGATCCATTGTCCACTCATTAAAATATCTATCTACTCATCTACCCATCTGTCAGCCATCTGTCCAGCCATACACCCATATAACCAACCTTCCATTCATCTACCATTTTCTCATCTGAATGTCATTTCATCTTCTCACCTACCCACTGTTTCTAGTCATCTAGCCATTCAGCTATCAAACTATTCATCATTCATTCATTTATTCATTCATTCATTCCATTTCTCATGCTTGATTGCTCACCTGCCTGCTGTCCTTCTTTCCTTCCTCTCCTTCTCTCTTCTAACCACCAATTCATTCACCCAGATCTCTGTCCATCCATTTGTCCATTCACTCTTTTGTTTGCTTAGTCACTGACTCATTTATTCATTTGCTCATCTTTTCTTCCATTTTTGCATCTATTCATCCATCCATCTCCCTACCTTCTCTTCCTGGCACACATCCAGCTGCCCCTCCTGGGTCTTCTTCAATCATCACCTCCATTCCTGGCCATCCAGTGGCTTTCCTGAGGCTTAGAAAGAGCTGGAAACCCCAAGGCATTCAACCTTCTTTCCCATAATGACAGCCTTGCTGAAAGAAAAGACAGACTGGAGAGAAGCCCTGGATGGGGCCACAGCATGTGGCCCCTATGACGCATTCCATGCCAGGCCTAGCTGGGGACAGGGAGCCTCCAGCCCCCTTGACCACCTTGTCTGGTCCCCATCCTCCCCCAGTGTGTTATGCTGGCATCTGCATGTGGTTTGTGTGGCACTCTGCAAACTCAGACATCCCGGGTTCTGTTTCCAGCATGACTCTATTGTCTGTCACCTGCAGACTCCCTGCTTTGTGAGGTTGAGCCCTCCCTCCTGGTCCTTTAGGAAGCCCAGGGACTTCCACAAGCTTTTGGCAGTTTGGAGGAGGGAGCAGGGCTTGCAGTCTCCTAGCCAGCTCCTCCTGAGCCTCAGCAGGCCCTGCTGAACTGTATCCTTTCTATGTCCCGGCCCTGCTGTCCCTAATGTGCCCTGAATTGACCCTTTCCTCAACTGCTCCATGAAATCTCCTCTCGGTGGCCTGTGTGTGTGTCCTGGAGGATGGTGCTGAGGTCTGGAGATGACCTGGACTTGCGTGTCCTCCTCTGTCCCCCTGCTGGCCACAGATTCATTTATCTCTTGGATGGAGCCGATTCACCTTCACAGCCCTTGCTTGGTCAAGAGCCGCCCCCTTTATTTATTCACAGTCATTGATTCATTCAGATGTCTCTTTTTCTTTTTTTTTTTTTTGAGACAGGTTCTTTCTCTGCCACTCAGGCTGGAGTGCAGTGGCGCTATCTTGGCTTACTGCAACCTCCACCTCCCAGGTTCAAGCAATTCTCCAGCCTCAGCCTCCTGGGTAGCTGGAGCTACAGGTGTGCACGACCACAACCGGCTAATTTTTGTATTTTTAGTAGAGACAGGGTTTTACCATGTTGGCCAGGCTAGTCTCGAACTACTGTCCTCAAGTGACCTGCCCACCTCGGCCTCCCAAAATGCTGGGATTACAGGCGTGAGCCACCGCACCCAGCCAGTGGATGTTTCTTGGGTGCCCACTGTCTGCCAGTCAGTGGGGTTGGCCCTGAGGCTTCAGGCTGAGCCAGACCAGATCCACTTCTACTCAGGCGGCACTTTCCGTTTAGAGGGTGAGACAGACAAGAAGCAAGTAGCTGAGCACATGGATGTGCCATGTGAGTTGGGGGAGGTGCTGAAGTTAGAGAGTGGGTGGATACAAGAAAGGTAATCCAGGAGGGCTTCTTGGAGGAGTTGACATTTAAGCCCAAAGCTAAAGGTCATGAAGGGGCAGTCACAGAGAGGGAGGGAAGGGTGTTGTAGGTGGAGAGAAGTGTGAGTGCAAGGGCCTAAGGCTGGAGAGGCTCTGCAGATGTCGCCAAGGAATAGGGCCTCACAGTTGTCTGTGCTGAAAAATCTGTACAACCTCTGCTCAGAGGTGGAAACTAAGGGCCAGAGCAGCAGAGTGCCCAGTGTTCCCATCCTTCTGTCCCCAAGCCTTCCCAGGTCCTGTTGAAAGCTGGTGGGCTCTGTATCTCCCATTCCCCTCCCGCAAGCCCTCCTCCCCACCCCTACCCCAGGAAGTCCAGGCTGGTGGAGTAAGTGGGGCACGGCTGAGCCCTGAAGGCTGCCTCAGTGAGATCTGGTGGGGGCAGTATTGCTTTTTATTTTTTGGCTCAAAGGTCAAAGTTCAGGAAGAGGTAAAGTGGGGGCTGCCTAAGTGCCCTCATTAGAGGCTGTATCTGTGCCTGTGCCCCTGTCAACAGGAGAGCACGTCTTACCCTACTGTGGATGCTAATGATCCCCTTTGCCAGTACCTGCCCTGAGATGGAAAATCTCAACCCCTGGCGAAGAGGAAGGGAGGAGAGTGGCTGTCCCCTTCTCATGGCAAGACAGGCTGGGTACAGCCAGATGCCAGCTTTGTCCACCCTTGCAACCCCGTCCCACCTGCTTCCACAACCTGCCCTGGCCTCAGTTTCCCCAACTGCATTCCCCTTCCCCTCTGGCCCTGCTGCCTCTTGTTAGGGTTTTCTCTGTTCCCCTACTCTCCCCTCTTCTCCCTCCCAGACCCTGTGCCTCCATCTTCCTCCTTCTCTTTAGTCTCTTATTCATTGAACAGAGTCTTACTGCATCCCAAGATGTGCCAGGCACTGGGCCAGGTAAGAATGTGACAGAGAGAGCATTCCTGCCTCATGGTGGCCCTGGGCTAGCTCTTTCTCTCTCAGAACCTAGCACATAATAGGTGCCGAAATAATGTTTGTTGAATGACTGAATGAGTGTCTCCAAGCCCTCCAGCTCTTAGTGTCTGTTTCCTTCCTTTCTCTCTCTATCTCTTCTCTTCCCAGCCCTCTCTGTGCCACACCCTTCCGCCATCTGCCTCTGTAGCCCCACATCTCTCCCATGCACATACAAGCTCCAGACACACAGTAGGCACTCATTAATAATGGTAATATCAACTAACATTTATTGAATGTTTACCGTGTGGTGGGCCATGGGCAGGTACATATGAGCATGGCCTCATTTGTCTCAAATGTTTGTTGAATGAATAAATTAATGGGTTAGTTATGGAATGAATGGATGAAATGCCTCATCTTTTAGTCTGCTGTTTCTTTATTTTATCTTTGTTTTTGTCTCTTTCAGTTTCTCTGCCTTAGTAAGTACTCAATAAATGACTAATATATGAGTGGGTGGGTGAGTGGATGGGCAGTTGGATGGATGGATGGATGGATGGATGGATGGATGGGTGGGTGGGTGGATAGGCAGATGGATGGATAGACGAGTGATGGATGGATGGATGGATGGATGGGTGAGTGGATGGATGGGCAGATGGGTGGATGGATGAGTGGGTGGATGGATGGATGAGTAGTGGATGGATGGGTGGACAGATGGAGGAGTGAGTGGATGGGTAGATGAATGGATGAGTGATGGATGGATGGATGGATGGATGAGTGGGTGGATGGATGGATGGATCAGTGAGGGATGGATGGATGGATGAGTGATGGATGGATGAATGGGTGGATGGATGATGGGTGGGTAGGTGGATGGGTGGATGCTGGGTGGGTGGATGTATGGATGAGGGATGGATGGATGGATGGGCGGGTAGGTGGATGGATGGATGGGCGGGTAGTTAGATGGGTGGATGAATGGATGGATGGGTGGGTGGATGGGTAGATGGATGGATGAGTGATGGACGGATGGATAAGTGGATGGATGGGTGGATGGATGGATGAGTGATGGATGGATGAGTGATGAATGGATGGATGGGTGGGTAGGTGGATGGGTGAATGGTGGGTGGGTGGATGGATGGATGGATGAGTGGGCAGATGGATGGATGAGTGATGGATGGATGGATGGATGGGTGGGTGGATGGGTAGATGGATGGATGGATGAGTGATGGATGGATGGATGGGTGAGTGGATGGGTAGATGGATGGATGGATGGATGAATGATGGATGGATGGGTGGATAGATGGAGGAGTGGGTGGATGGGTAGATGGATGGATGAGTGATGGTTGGATGGATAGATGGGTGGATGGGTAGATGGATGGATGGATGGATGAGTGATGGATGGATGGGTGGATAGATGGATGAGTGGGTGGATAGGTAGATGGATAGATGAGTGATGGATGGATGGATGGATAGATGGATGGGTCGGTGAGTGGATGTGTGGATGGATGGGTGGATAGATGTATGGGCAGTCTGTGCATTTCTTTCTGTTTGTCTCCACCCAACACACAGTAGGTACTAGCTATAGTTTGTTGGATAAAACATTACTTAGTTTTTACATCTGCCCCAACTACCTCACCCTGTTCCTTGTAAGGCTTCAGCTGCCTGCCCGCCACCACAGTCTCTGGGTCCCTAAGGCCAGGGACAGTGGGGCAGGCAGGGGATGAGCCCTCCCATCAACTTGCCTCCCTACCTCCTCCAGGAAGCAGCCGCAGAGCCCCAAAGCCCCTGCCCCTCAGCCGCCCCCCATCCTCAAAGTCTTCAACCGGCCTATCCTCTTTGACATCGTGTCCCGGGGCTCCACTGCTGACCTGGACGGGCTGCTCCCATTCTTGCTGACCCACAAGAAACGCCTAACTGATGAGGAGTTTCGAGGTGAGCCACCCAGATGGGCATAGCCAGTGGGACAGCCAGGGGTGTGGGGGAAGCCTGGCATTGGGGGCCCCCTTTCCCCTCAGCTTCTTTCTTTGGGTCGGTGGACTGCATTGGCCTGGAAAGTGCACTGGACAGGGAGTCTGGTCCTGTGTGTCCTTCACCATGTTACTTAACCTCTCTGTGCCTCAGCTACCTCCATTTATTCATTCTTTCATTCATTCAGCCCTTATGTATGAAAAGGTTAGTGTAGTGGGTAAGCAGAGTCCACCTACCTGGGTTCAGATTCTACCTTTACCAGTTAAGCGATGTGTGACCTCTCTGAGCCTCCGTTTCCTCATCTGTAAACTGGGGAATAATCATAGCATACTCCTGGCTCTCATCCCACAGAGAGCCCAGCGCAGGCAGCTGGAGTCCTGGAGCTCCTGCTCCCCTGAGGGAAGGTCTGGAGGGATGGGCAGGTGTCTGGGCTGGTAGTCCTGATTCTACTTCTTGGGGTCTGCTCCACCCCAGCCTAGCTTTAGGGCTCCACTTCCTAGGCTGAAGCCCCAGCCCAGAGAGCTAACCCTTCAGCCTTGTCCAGATTCAAAACACCCACCTCAGGACACCGGCACCCTCCACAGCCCCAGGCCTTACCTGTGAACACCTGCACCCAAATCAGCCACCTGCAATGTGCTGGGTTCTGGGTAAGCCATTATTAAACTGGCCGTGATCTCACAAGTCAAGATACCATGTCAAGAAGTGTGACACCAAGGCTGGGCATGGTGGCTCACACCTGTAATCCCAGCACTTTGGGAGGCCAAGGCAGGAGGGTTGCATGAGCCTGGGAGGCTCAGGCTGCAGTGAGCTGTGATCATGCCACTGCACTCCAGCCTGGGTGACAGACAGGAAAAAAAAAAAAAAAAGAATTGTGATACCTGCTATGAAGAAGGGCCCATCTTGGAAGGCGGACCATGGTTGGTCTACAGCCTAAGTCTGAGGAGGCTTCAGGGATGTCAGAAGAGGCTTTTTTTTTTTTTTTTGAGACAGAGTTTCATTCTTGTTGCCCAGGCTGGAGTGCAATGGCATGATCTCTGCTCACTGCAACCTCCGCCTCCTGGGTTCAAGTGATTCTCCTGCCTCAGCCTCCCAAGTAGCTGGGATTACAGGCATGCGCCACCACGCCCGGCTAATTTTGTATTTTTAGTAGAGACGGGGTCGCTCCATGTTGGTCAGGTTGGTCTTGAACTCTCGACCTCAGGTGATCTGCCCGCCTTGGCCTCCCGAAGTGCTGGGATTATAGGCATGAGCCACTGTGCCCAGCCAGAAGAGGACATTTTTTAAGACTTCAGTTACTTTAAGTAAATTAAGTTCCCAAACAGGGTGAACAAGTCTGTGCTACATCATCCACATATACCTTTATCAACCTGTTTTTTTTTTTTTTTTCTTTTTTTTTTTTGAGATAGGGTCTCATTCTGTCACCCAGGCTGGAATGCTGTGGTGTGATCACAGCTCCCTGCAGCCTTGAACTTCTGGCCTCAAGCAATCCTCCTGCTTCGGCCTCGAGAGTAGTTGGGACTACAGGTGCAAGCTACCATGCCTGGCTAAATTTTTTTTTTTCTTTTTTTTTAAGAGACAGGTCTCACTATGTTGCCCAGGCTGGTATCAAACTCCTGGCTTCAAGCGATCCTCCTGCCTCAACCTCCCAAAGTGCTGGGATTACAGGCATGAGCCACTGAGGCTGGCCTCAACCTCATTCTTACCCTGAAACAATACGATGCAGTATCATTGTGTCCATCAGGAGACAATTACTGGGGCCGGGTGCGGTGGCTCATGCCTATAATCCCAGCACTTTGGGAGGCTGAGGCGGGTGGATCACCTAAGGTCAGGAGTTTGAGACCAGCCTTGCCAACATGGTAAAAACCTGTCTCTACTAAAAATACAAAAAAAAAAAAAAAAAAGCCAGGCTTAGTGGCACACACCTGTAATTTCAGCTACTTAGGAAGCTGAGCCAGGAGAATCACTTGAACCTGGGAGGTGGGGGTTGCAGTGAGCCGAGATTGCACCACTGCACTCCAGCCTGGGCGAAAGAGCGAGACTCTGTCTCAAAAAAAAAAAGAAAATACAATTGCTGGATTTATGAAAAATATTCATTCATGGTTCCTGGCCACGCGACGTGGCCTCGTTTGGAGGCACAAGTTTAGAGCTGTGGGAGGACGGGGCTTCTCTCTGCTCCTGGAGTAGCTCAGTGATGGCATGAGTAATCTCATTCGGAGATAACCCATGTTTAAGCCCTGGCCAAATGGCCTCTCCTGGTCCACCAAGTACGTGAGGCAAAAGTGCGGAATCTTGGGGTAGAGCGAATCCTGGGAGATGGATGCTGGCACCTGTGCCTTCAGCACCAGGCTAGCTTGTCAAGGCCTCTGGCTTCTTCTGAATTCAGGACTGAGTTGGGGGCTTCTAGCATAGTCCAGGAACCCAGATGCATGTGTGTCTGTGCATGAGTGTGGGTGGGGGACTCTAAGATAGGCTTTGGAGGTGGGTCTCTGAAATTGCAGAGGCTAGCGTATGTGCATAGAGGGAGACTTACTGTGAGGTCCATGATACTAATTAAGTGCCAGGGCCCCTGGCTAAGGCCCTTTCTGAGGTCCTCGACCTAGTCTACGTCCCACAAAACCTGGATCCGTCCCTGCATGGCTAAAAGGTCATGAGCTCATCTGATTATCAGGGAAGTCTGGGACGCCCTCCTGTGCCCCCACCTCCCCTCCGCAGAGTTTCACAACCTCCAATTTGGCAATTGTCAATTTAGAGCCCCTGGCTACAGCACCCCACCCTGGGCAGAGCCACTTCGCCACCTGGTGGCTGGTTCCTGGAACTGCATGTTCCACCTCATCTCTGGGAAGATGCTGCTCCTGACATCTTCTCCCAGGACCCAGGCGTCCCCTCCCTGGGTCTATAACCTGTGTCTGAAAGCCCGAATCCAGGGTCTCTAGTTCCACTTTGGGTCACCTATGGTTTGGAATTACCTGGGGTGCCCAGCTCTCGCCTTCATTCAATGTGTGTTAACTCAGCAAATGGTTGTTGGGCACCTACCACATACCAGGCACTGTGCTTGGCAGAGGCCGAATGATAGTGAGCAAAGCAGACATCACCCTGCCCTCAAGGTGCCCACAGGCTCCTGGACAGGACCATCATTGACCAAGCAACCACATAAATAAGCACACAGTTATGAACTGTAACAGGTGTCAACAAAAGGCTGTACTGGAGGATTTGACCTAGTCAGGGAAAATCCAGGAGAGCTTCCTGGAGGAGGTAACACTTGAGCAGAGTCTGAGTGAGTTGCAGTTAACCAGGTGAAAAGAGGAGGGAAGAATGTTTCAGATTGGGGTGGGGGTTCAGAGACAGCAGGTGCAAAGACCCTGTAGTTCACCGTGGTCTATTGCAGTCTGAAATGACCATTCCAGCTGCTATGTGGAAAGTGGATAAAGGAAGGCCAGAGAGGCTGGGGGAAATGAGGGAAATAAAGGAGGTGTCTTAGGCATGTGAGAGGGATGGTGGCTGGGCCACATTATTCCATGAGAGGTTTGGTGTCGCCTCTGAGCTGGGCGCCAGGTGGACAGCGGGAAAGCAACTGGGAACAAGACTTGTCCCAAACAACCCTGCTCCTGGAAGGGCTGAGACTAGAATTCAGGTCTCTTGAGTCTGCCCCACTGATTCCCGGCATTTAGGGAGACGGTTCCTAAATCCCGTCTCATGGATTGATAACAGCAACAGTAATATTTATCAAAGACTGCTATCTGCCTGGTACTGGGCTAATCAACAAACACTGATTAGCTCTTTGATTTCCCTTCATAGCTTTAATTTAGCCAGAAAGGACCCTAAGCAGAGAAATGGTCATACAGCTGTGGGGAGCAAAGCCAGGCCTCAAACCTGAGGTGCCTGGCTTCAGAACGGGCACCTGAACCCACACCTGCGTCTCCCACCCTCTGGCCATTCCTGAGCCCCTGGCTGATTTTGCCCTGTCCTTGATTCACAGGGGAGTTTTCAACTTACTCTTTTGAGATATAAATCAACTCAGGTAACCATAAAAATAGCTACAACAGAAAGAAACTTGCAAAGAGACATCAGCAAGCGTTAGTGAGAGGTGTTAAGGACCCGCTAGTACCAAACGGAGAGTTGACTTCATGAGAAAGATTCGATAGTGGATGAAACCTTCAGGGTTATTATTGTTGCACCCCCTAGAACCCCCAAGATTCTCTCCTGGATCCCCTAAGGTCAGTTCACATCCACTGTGGCACACAGTCCCACACTTTGGGGAACGCTGCACCCCTCCACTCCCTTCTAGGGGCACCAGTGTAAATGCTTCATGGGAAAAGGATTCGATGCTCTGACAGGTGGGTGAATGCTGCCTAGTGTGTCTTGCTTTTACAGGTTCACAGTCCCTGTTAGTGTATGAAAGGCTCTGAGAAGTCCTGTAGTAAGGAATTATGATTGGCTTTGTTTAACCCAGCATTCTAACCATTTATTTGTTTATGAAGCACTTTACATAAATCTTTTCGAGGGCCAGGTGTGGTGGCTCACATCTGTAATCCCAGCACTTTGGGAGGCTGAGGTGGGAGGATCACTTGAGGCCAGGTGTTTGAGACCAGCCTGGGTAACAGAGTGAGATCCCTTCTCTACGAAAATAAAAATTAAAAAATTAGTTGAGCATGGAGGTGCACACCTGTAGTCTTAGCTGCTACTTGGGAGGCTGAGGTGGGAGGATCACTTGAGCCCAGGAATCGGAGGCTGCAATGAGCTAGGATTGCACAACTATACCCCAGGCTGGATGACAGAGCGAGACCCTCTCTCTCAAAAAAAAGGATATTAATAAATAAAAATAAATACAAAATCTTCCCAAATAAGATTAATTAAATAAATACCAATCTGTAGGCTGAAGCCTCTCACATTTCAAAGCACCTAACCCCATGCGTTTATTGTACCCTCTCAGCACCACTGGAGGCAGAAAGATAGAGTGGCCCTGGGTCCCCACTGGACAGATGAGGAAACAGGCTTGGAGAGGAGATGTTGACAGCCAGGACATCTGACCCCCTACCCAGTGTTCTGTACCCCGATGCCTGGAAGTTCAAGGTCATGGGCTGGAGCACTGCGTCATCTTGTGTGTCTCTCTTGCTAGAGCCATCTACGGGGAAGACCTGCCTGCCCAAGGCCTTGCTGAACCTGAGCAATGGCCGCAACGACACCATCCCTGTGCTGCTGGACATCGCGGAGCGCACCGGCAACATGAGGGAGTTCATTAACTCGCCCTTCCGTGACATCTACTATCGAGGTGGGGCCCCGGGCTGGGCAGGGGTGCCACGGGGGCTGATGGAGACGCTGTCCTTTGCTTGTCTGACTCCTGAGACTTTTGATCTGGGCCTAAGTGCCAGCATGTACCCAGGACCTGACAAATGGATGGATGGATGGATGGATGGATGGATGCATGGATGCATGGATAGATGGATGGATGAAGGAACGGTAACTACCCCTTCCAACTTTGTTTCGAGTTTCAGAATAGAAGATTCCACTGGGTGCGGTGGCTCTTACCTGTAATCCCAGCACTTTGGGAGGCCAAGGGGGGCAGATCGCTTGAGCCCAGGAGTTCAAGACCAGCATGGGCAACATGGTGAAATCCTGTCTTGACAAAAGATACAAAAAAAAAAAAATAAAATAAAAGAAGGCCAGGTGCGGTGGCTCACACCTGTAATCCCAGCACTTTGGGAGGCTGAGGTGGGCAGATCACTTGAGGTCAGGTGTTCAAGACCAGCCTGGCCAACATGGTGAAACCCTGTCTCTGCTGAAAATGCAAAAATTAGCCAGGCGTGGTGGTGCGCACCTATAATCTCAGCTACTTGGGAGGCTGAGGCAGGAGAATCGCTTGAACCTGGGAGGTGGAGGTTGCAGTGAGCCAATATCGCGCCATTGCACTCCAGCTTGGGCAACAAGAGCAAGACTCATCTCAAAAAAAAAAAAAAGATGCAAAAAAAGCCAGGCTTGTTGGTGCACACCTGTAGTCCCAGCTACTTGGGAGGCTGGGGTGGGAAGATCACTTGAGCTCAGAGGGTCAAGGCTTCAGTGAGCTATGATTGTGCCACTGCACTCCAGCCTGGGTGACAGAGTGAGACCCTGTCTCAAAAAAAAAAAAAAAAAGATTCCAAGATTCTGAGATGCAGCGAGTCTAGTGATCATGAACTCGGGATCTGGCCCTAAGATGCTGTGGTGGCGGATACTCTAAGGCTCTATGATAATAAGTCCTGAGTTCACAAGTTCTAAGAGGCAAAGGCAGCAGGGGGCCAAGAACTGGGCCAATCCCCAGTTGAGATTCTGTAAATCAGAGTTGACCTTCAGATGCCTGGATATTAAGATTCAAAATCCATGAATATTATATCTTGAGTCCAAAATTCTGGGAGGCCAAGGTACTGTTGTTTCCTCTAGGAGTTTTCTTTTTTTTGAGACAAGGTCTTGCTCTGTTACCCAAGCTGGAGTGCAGTGGTGTGATCATGGCTCACTGCAGCCTTGACTTCCTGGGCTCAAGGGAGTCTCCCACCTCACCCTCCCAAGTAGCTGGGACCACCGGCATGGACCACCATGCCAGGCTAATTTTTAAAATTTCTGTAGAGACAGGGTCTCACTATGTTGTTGTATTAGCCCGTTCTCATGCTGCTATAAAGAACTGCCCAAGACTGGATAATTTATAAAGGAAAGAGGCTTAATTGACTCACAGTTCCGCAGGGCTGGGGAGGCATCAGGAAACTTACAATCATTGTGGAAGGGGAAGCAAACATGTCCTTCTTCACATGGTGGTAGGAAGAAGAAGTGCCAAGCAAAAGGGGGAAAAGCCCCTTATAGAATCATCAGATCTCTTGAGGACTCACTCACTATCATGAAAACAGCATGAGGGTAACTGCCCCCATGATTAAATTACCTTTCACAGGGTCCCTCCCATGATACATGGGGATTATGGGAACTACAATTCAAGGTGAGATTTAGGTGTGGACACAGAGCCAAACCATATCAGTTGCCCAGGCTGGTACTGAACTGCTAGGCTTCAGCAATCCTCCTGCCTCAGCCTCTGGAGTAGCTGGGACCACAGGTGTAAGTCACCAGGCCCAGCTAATTTTTAGCATTTCTATAGAGATGGGATCTCACTGTGTTGCCCAGGCTTGCCTCAAACGCCTGGGCTCAGGTGATCTCCCTCCTTGGTCTCCCAAATTGCTGGGATTACAGGCGTGAGCCTGCGCCTGGCCTCCTCTAGGATTTTTAAAGCATCTTATGAATCTAAAAACTTCTCACATTCAGGATTCCACAAACTAGGTATCCTTCAGGCTTGAGATTCTGCTTCTGCGATGGATCCCAGGGAATATCCAAGGACCTATTTGCTGCCCTTGGGTGTCGCTGGGCAGGACTCTGCCTGCATCCCCCACCCCCCAATTTCTACGTCCTGCACCCTACCCCCACCCCCAGCAAGCCTGGCTAGGTCTCTGCTCCGCCAGGACCCTGGATGACCGTCCCCTGCCCCCAGGTCAGACAGCCCTGCACATCGCCATTGAGCGTCGCTGCAAACACTACGTGGAACTTCTCGTGGCCCAGGGAGCTGATGTCCACGCCCAGGCCCGTGGGCGCTTCTTCCAGCCCAAGGATGAGGGGGGCTACTTCTACTTTGGTAAGGAGGGGCCTGGTGGGGGCTGACAGCATGCTGGAGAAGCATGGCGGGAGATAGCATGATACTGGTTGGTGTCTGCAGCCCTGACCATCACCCAGACACCCAGGGCCACTCTGGCCATGAGCGCAGGCAGCACTCTGGACCACAGGCTGCACGTTGGTCTTGGTCACAGGGCCGTTGCCTCTGAGGTGTAAGTGCCATGGGGAGTACCATGGACCTGGATTCAGATCCTCACTCCAGCCAGGCACGGTGTCTCACACCTGTCATCCCAGCACTTTGGGAGGTCAAGGCAGGAGGATCGCTTGAGGGCAGGAGTTTGAGACCAGCCTAGGCAACATAGCAATACCCTGTCTCTTTTAAACATTTAAAAAATGGCTGGGCACGGTGGCTCATGCCTGTAATCCCAGCACTTTGGGAGGATGAGGCAGGTGGATCACCTGAGGTCAAGAGTTCAAGACCAGCCTGGCCAACAAGATGGTGAAACCCATCTCTACAAAAATAACAAAAATTAGCCGGGCATGGTGGTGGGTGCCTGTAATCCCAGCTACTTGGGAGGCTGAGGCAGGAGAATTGCTTGAACCTGGGGGACAGAGGTTGCAATGAGCCGAGATTTCCCCATTGCACTCCAGCTTGGGTGACAGAGTGAGACTCTGTCTCAAAAAATAAATAAATAAATAAATAAATAAATAAGTTAGATGGCATGGTGGCATGTGCTTGAAGTCCCAGCTGCTTGGGAGGCCGAGGCTGGAGGATCACTTGAACCTAGGAGTTCGAGGCTGCAGTAAGCCATGATTGCACCACTGCACTCCAGCCTGGAAAATAGAGCAAGACCCCGTCTTTAAAAAGCAAAAAGAAAAGAACAAAAAAAAAGCCAAATCCTCACTCTGCACTTTCCAGGCATGTGACCTCACTTCCCTGAGCCTCACCTTCCCCAGCTGTGCAGTGGGGATCACGAGAGGCCCTTGGGCTGTGATGTCAGCGCCCAGCTCTGTATTGTCTGTGTGCTTTAATCTGGTTTATGCTGGGACCAACAGCCCCATCACCAGGCCCAAAGCCCACCACTGCCGTTGTCATCACTGGACTCATGAAATATTTTGAATTTTGCCCCTGCTTAAAGGCATTCATTATGTGCAGCTCAGGGACAAAGTCACACAAAGAATTCCATCATCAGCTGGGCGCGGTGGCTCACGCCTGTAATCCCAGCACTTTGGGAGGCCGAGGTCGGCGGATCACTTGAGGTCAGGAGTTTGAGACCAGCCTGGCCAACATGGCGAAATCCTGCCTCTACTAAAAATACAAAAATTAGCCAGGTGTGGTGGCGTGCGCCTGTAATCCCAGCTACTCGGCTGAGGCACAAGAACTGCTTGCACCCGGGAGGTGGAGGTTGCAATGAGCCGAGATTGTGCCACTGCACTCCAGCCTAGGCGACAGAGTGAGACTTTGTCTCAAAAAAAAAAAAAAAAAGAATTCCATCATTGGATGTGTCCAGTCCCTCACAGCCTCCAAATCGCGTGGCTGTGCCCTTAACTAGCCACACCCCATCTCCCTGGCATCACCCAGAGAAACGTGCAGTTCATATCCACTGCTGGTGCTGTCTCCGTCATTATCCTCAGAGCGCCACGGTGTCCGTCCCCCGAGTGTCTGCAGGCAGAGTCCCACCCTGGGCCCCCTTCGCTGACCTCCCACCCTTCACCCTGGCCCGCAGGGGAGCTGCCCCTGTCGCTGGCTGCCTGCACCAACCAGCCCCACATTGTCAACTACCTGACGGAGAACCCCCACAAGAAGGCGGACATGCGGCGCCAGGACTCGCGAGGCAACACAGTGCTGCATGCGCTGGTGGCCATTGCTGACAACACCCGTGAGAACACCAAGTTTGTTACCAAGATGTACGACCTGCTGCTGCTCAAGTGTGCCCGCCTCTTCCCCGACAGCAACCTGGAGGCCGTGCTCAACAACGACGGCCTCTCGCCCCTCATGATGGCTGCCAAGACGGGCAAGATTGGGGTGAGTGTGCGGCTGGGGGCACAGCTGATCCACCTACTCGTACCCCTCTGCACACACACACGAGGGTCTGCTGCTGGTATTCATTATTAATACGTGCATGCACCTCCCAACATGCCAACCCCAGTGTGCAGATGTCCCAGCTCAAGAACCTGCTATGGCTCCCTAGTGTCCAGCCAAGCTCCTTAGCTTCATCCCCGAGCCTCTCGCCTCATGTCACCCTACTGGATGTTCACCACTCCACCCCCACCAGCCAGGATGAGCCACTGATAAGAAACTGAGTCCCCGGGCCCTAGCCCAGCGGTGCTCCCAGCCTCAAACCTGTTGAATGGCCCTGCCCCAGTTCCTTCCCTTTTCTGGGCCGCGCAGCATGGGGCCTGGAGAAGGGTTTCTCAACTTCAGCATGATTATTTTGGGCGGCAGGCTCTTTGTGGTGGGGACCGTCTTGTGCTATTGCCAGACATTGATCTGCATCCCGGGCCTCTACCCACCAGATGCCAGGAACACCTCCCCTTACACTTGTGACCACCAAAAATATCTCCAGAACATTGCTGAATTGTCCTCTGGGGGGCACCATCGCTGGATTGGGAACCAAGTCTGGAGTATGCTAGAGGCAGGAGCACCTGTCCAAGCCCTGGCGCTACCACTTCCCAGTGTGTGACCTCAGACATCTCATTTCCCTTTTCTGTGCCTCAGTTTCCTTGTCTGTAAAATGGGGATATAAGAGTGTCCTCTGGTGTGGTGTTGTGACAAATGCGGTGATCCACATAAGGCTCTTAGGAAGGAGCCTGGGAGAAGCAGTAAGTGTCACTTACATGTCTGTAATGCCAGCTAGTTGGGAGGCTGAGGTGAGAGGATCGTTTAAGTCCAGCCTGGATTATTTGAGATCCCAAATAAATAAAAACCAAAATAAAAAAAAATGTAGCAAAAATTACTAAAATTGCAATTATACCATGGCCCTGAGGCAGTAGAAAGGCTCCAGTTTAAATCCTGGCTTTGGCTAGGCTCAGTGGCTCGTGTCTGTAATCCTAGCACTTTGGGAGGCTGAGGTGGGAGGAGCACTTGAGCCCAGGAGGTTGAGGCTGCAATGAGCTGTGATAGTGCCATTGCACTCCAGCCTGGGCAACAGAGCCAGACCCTGTCTCAAAAAACCCCAAAATCCTGGCTGTGCACAGTGGCTCATGCCTGTAATCCCAGCACTTTGGGAGGCCGAGGTGGGCGGATCACCTGAGGTCAGGAGTTCAAGACCAGCCTGGCCAACATGGTGAAACCCCGTCTCTACTAAAAATACAAAAATATTAGCTGGGTGTGATAGTGGGCACCTGTAATCCCAGCTACTCAGGAGGCTGAGGCAGGAGAATTGCTTGAACCTAGGAGGAGAGGGTTGCAGTGTGCTGAGATCGCGCCACTGCACTCCAGCCTGGGTGACAGAGAGAGACTCTGTCTCAAAACAAAAACCCCAAAATCCTAACATTGCCTGACCTTGGGCAATTCCCACCCCTCTCTGTGCCTCCGCTTCCCTGTGTGTAAGCCAGGGAAGGAGGAGTGGTAACAGGAAGGACCGCATGTGATCGTCAGTATTATAATTCACATGTCATTAAGATGGATTCATTGCTATTTTAACGGCATGAAGAAGATATTCATTACAATTAAGATGTTGAAGGCTCATCCAGGTTCTGTCTGGCTCCAGCTGACTGGTTAAGTGGCTTCTGGAACACCCTTCGTTTTTCCCAGCCTCCATTCTTTATCTGTAAACCAAGATAATAAGAGCAAGAATTAAACAAGATGAGGAAAGGGTCCTCCAGCAGCCGGTGCTTAGCTGTTTTCTGGGGAGGCGTCATGTGCTGAGCTGGGCCCAGCCCTGGGGGTCTTTCCAGTGTGAGCCCCCTGACCCTCCTGGCCCCCTGTGCAGATCTTTCAGCACATCATCCGGCGGGAGGTGACGGATGAGGACACACGGCACCTGTCCCGCAAGTTCAAGGACTGGGCCTATGGGCCAGTGTATTCCTCGCTTTATGACCTCTCCTCCCTGGACACGTGTGGGGAAGAGGCCTCCGTGCTGGAGATCCTGGTGTACAACAGCAAGATTGAGGTGGGCTCCAGGAGGGGGCATGGGGTGTGAGGAAGGAGGGGCAGGGCTGGGAGTAGGGACAGGGCCCTGGGGCTGGGCTGGGGGAGACAGCCCCAGCCTCTAGGACCCAACGTGGTGGGTCTGTTGGCTGAATGCAAGAGAAGGTGCCAACTAAGTGCCCAGAACAGTGTCTGCCATGTGAGGAAATGAGCAAGACTTGTGGGAAGATGGACTTTTGGGGCAGGTAGGACTGGGTTGGGATCCTGGCTCTGTAACTTACATGCTGTGTGTCTCAGGACAAGTGGCTCCACCTCTCTGGGTCTCAGCTTCTTCATTTGTAACCTGGGGATAAGGATCATGGATATCCCATGGGGTTCTTGGGAGGACCAAAGAGGTTAATTTTAGAATGGCTTGGCACAGAGTAAACATTATGTCAGCTTTTACTACTCATGGTTGTTATATGAACTTTTGAAAGCTCTTTTTTTTCGGTCAGGCATGGTGGCTTATGCCTGTAATTCTAGCATTTTGGGGAGCCAAGGTGGGCGGATTGCTTGAAGCCAGGAGTTTGAGACTAGCCTGGGCAATATGGCGAAACCCCGTCTCTACCAAAAAAAAATAATAAAAATGAAAATTAGCTAGGCATGGTGGTGCGAGCCTGTAGTCCCAGCTACTTGGGAGGCGAGGTGGGAGGATCACCTGAGCCTGGGGAGGTCGAGGCTTCAGTGAGCCGAGATCATGCCACTGCACTCCAGCCTGGGTGACAGAGTGAGATCCTGTCTCAAAATAAACAAACAAACAAACAAACAAAAAACCAAGCTTTTTTTTCCCTACTTAGCAGTATTTTGTGAACGTCGTTCTGTACTTTTAAATATTCTTTGGTAATATTGTCGCTGCATGTAAACATACCATATTCAAATGAACTGTTCTCTTATTGCTGGTCGCTTGGGTTTGTTTCTGCCTTTATCAGGAATAACACTATAAGAGCATCTCTGTGGCTGCTTTATTGCACAAATCATGATTATAGAGAAACTCAAGTTAATAAAGGGCTAGGAAGCTATAAAAATGGAGCAGAAAATGCTGGGGACTGGGTGCAGGTGGTCTTCCTTCTAGCCCTGCCCTGTGGCTTACTGGTCTGTGAGCTTGGCTTCCTTGCAAGACCTCATTTCCCTCATTTTTTGAATTAGTGACCATCTTGATTTAAATTAGTGGTGGCAGGAGGTTTAGCATCTCAGGTGCAAACTGATTGATTAGTAGTGTCTACCCAGGGAACTGTATGAATACAATTGTGCAGGGCTCAATTATTGATGTCTGCCCTGGGTTCAGAATTGGAGAATTGTGGTGAGTCAATCATTTATCATCTTTGGGCAAAATTTCTCAATCTTTCTCTCTGAATCAGAATTTCTGAGAGCGGAGGCCAGGATTTATACTTGCAGCAAGTTACATAAATTATTTTGCGGCCAGCAGCTTGGTACTATCCACAGATTGGAGTTTGGGAACCATGAGAATAAATGTCTTTTTTTCTTTTTTGAGATGGAGTCTCACTCTTGTTGCCCAGGCTGGAGTGCAGTAGTGCGATCTAGGCTCACTGCAATCTCCGCCTCCCAGGTTCAAGTGATTCTCCTGCCTCAGCCTTAGGAGTAGCTGGGATTACAGGTGTGCACCACCACGCCCGGCTAATTGTTGTGTTTTTAGTGGAGACAGGGTTTCACCACATTGGCCAGGCTGATCTTGAACTGCTGACCTTAGGTGATCCGCCTGTCTTGGCCTCCCAAAGTGCTAGGATTACAGGCATGAGCCACTGCGGCCGGCCTGAAAATAAATGTCTTTTAAGGGACTTTCCAGTTCCGAGTTCTGTGATGCTAGAATAGGGTGGAAAGGTACATTGAGGCAGAATTGGGCAGCTGAATCCATTCATGAATCCGTGAATGCAGCTGAGGAATGGATGGAAAGAGAAAGCGCTGTCCGGGTGGAGGGTGGGGGAAGGCACACCCGAGGCAGCCTGCCTGGACCCCCCACCCATCTCAGGAAGGCAGCCCCCGACCACCCTGCCTCTCTTAGAACCGCCACGAGATGCTGGCTGTGGAGCCCATCAATGAACTGCTGCGGGACAAGTGGCGCAAGTTCGGGGCCGTCTCCTTCTACATCAACGTGGTCTCCTACCTGTGTGCCATGGTCATCTTCACTCTCACCGCCTACTACCAGCCGCTGGAGGGCACAGTGAGTGCCCGGGGACCGGGCAGGGGCTGGGGCAGGCACTGGGCTGAGCCATGCAGGACTGGGGCACAACCTCATCCTTCTGGGTCCCCTGTAGGGGGACCCGGAGAAGGTTTAGGAACAGGTTGGGGAGGCGCCCTCCAGCATCCACGGGTGGCCCTGAGCTGGGAGGAGGAAGACTCAGGAGGAAGAGAGTGAAGGAGGAGGCTCCATGGGATGCCGATGTTTCGGGCCTGGGGGAACATCTGGATTGGGGGCCAGATGTTGGAGGGGCTGGGTGACGACCTGTGTGCCCTTGCTGCTCCCCAGCCGCCGTACCCTTACCGCACCACGGTGGACTACCTGCGGCTGGCTGGCGAGGTCATTACGCTCTTCACTGGGGTCCTGTTCTTCTTCACCAACGTAAGTGCCTGGCCCCCGTGCCCCCCACCCTGCCTGCCCTCCTCTTCTCTTCCTGCACCTCTTTTCTCTCCCTCTTTTTCTCTTCTCTCTCCTCCAAATGGTCCTTCTCCTTTCCTTCCTCCTTTTATTTTCCCATTTCTCTTCTACCTCCTCCAATCCCACGTTCTCCATCTCTGCTTTTTTCTCCTTTTCTAACAGGAAAGAGTCCTTTGTCTTTTCTCTGTACCAGCCTCTGCCTCCCTCTCTTCTATCCCTTTCTCTGTCTCCTCTCTCCTCCTCTCCTCTCCTGCTGGCCCCACCCCTTTCACGTGCCCCCTCCTGTCTTCCAGATCAAAGACTTGTTCATGAAGAAATGCCCTGGAGTGAATTCTCTCTTCATTGATGGCTCCTTCCAGCTGCTCTAGTGAGTAGAGGTCCCTGGGCCGGCAGCTTCTGGGTGAGGAAGGTGGGTTTGGGCTGCTAGGTCGTCCAGATTCAGGAGAGAGGTGATTCTGTTAGAAATGAATGCACCCAACCTGGGCAGCTCTAACCCAAAGTCAGGACAAAGCCACAAACAATAGGGTCTTCTGGTTCAAGAAAAATTCTGATTGCTAGGGAGTTATCATATACAACATGGATAGAAATAATTTTAACCTCTTATGCTGGTGAATGATTGCTAATGTCTGCCTGAAGTGCCATGTTAAGAATTTTGCACCTGTGTCTGTGTTTAGTGGGAAAGAGTTGGGATTGATTAATGATGTCTGCCTGGGACAGAGAATGAGAGAGTTACTGAGTGTGTGTTACCTCTTTCACATTTCCCTTAGAGTTGGAGAATGATGAAATTCACTTAGCCACAAAATCTCCACTGAACACCACTAAATCTTTCTTTAGCAATTCCAAGGGGCATCACTTCAGGATCCTGTGGGACCTCAGGATTAATTGCCAGCTAATTGAATGTTCTTGTTAACAGAATGCTGGGGAACCCTGCTAATCCACTTTGTTTCTTTTCTGGGGGTCTAGAAGGCATTGGGAAGTCCTGATACCCTGGAGGGCTTGGAGGCGTGTCTTCCCCTCCAGAGCCTCATTGTCCCCTCTCCCCTCTGGCCTCTCTTGTGGTCTCTGCTGCACTGCAGCTTCATCTACTCTGTCCTGGTGATCGTCTCAGCAGCCCTCTACCTGGCAGGGATCGAGGCCTACCTGGCCGTGATGGTCTTTGCCCTGGTCCTGGGCTGGATGAATGCCCTTTACTTCACCCGTGGGCTGAAGCTGACGGGGACCTATAGCATCATGATCCAGAAGGTACGGGCTGGGAGGACCCTCTGGACTCGTGTGTTCCTGGAGGGAGTCACACACACACCACATGCACACTTATGCACCTGCAGACCTGAGGATGCTGGGTACCGTGGGGGCAGGAGGCATGGTCTGGACACTGGGGTGGGACCAGGGTGGAGATGGAGGAATGGGGAAAGTGAGAAACCATGTGTCTCCTCTTTGCCTCCATAATCCCGCTGGGGTCTTTAGATTCTCTTCAAGGACCTTTTCCGATTCCTGCTCGTCTACTTGCTCTTCATGATCGGCTACGCTTCAGGTGAGCTCTGGGTGCTCAGGTGGTCCTGGCAGGGGTGGTGCAAGGACGGGAACAGTAGCCATGATGTATAGGGGACAATAGCAGCCTTGCTGAGTTCTTTTTTTTTTTTTTTTTTTTTTGAGGTGGAGTTTTGCTCCTGTTGCCCGGGCTGGAGTGCAATGGCACAATCTCAGCTCACTGTAACCTCCACCTCCCAGGTTCAAGTAATTCTGCCTCAGCCTCCCACGTAGTTGGGATTACGGGCTCCTGCCACCACGCCCCACTATTTTTTAATTTTTTTTTTTTTGTATTTTTAGTAGAGATGGGGTTTCACCATGTTGGCCATGCTGGTCTTGAACTCCTGACCTCAGGTGATCCACCCTCCTTGGCCTCCCAAAATGGTGGGATTACAGGTGTGAGCCAACGCGCCTGGCCACTGAGTTCTTATTTGTGTGCCAGGCACCAGACTAAGTACGTTTCCATCCTTGCCTCCCAACAAGCCTGTAAGCTAAGTGCCTTTATTATCCCCTATTATAGAAAAGGAAACTGAGGCTTAGGAGGGTTAAATAACTAGCACAAGTTCAAAAGCCAGTGAATGGTGGCCGGGCGCAGTGGCTCACATCTGTAATCCCAGCACTTCAGGAGGCTGAGGCGGGTAGATCACTTGAGGTCAGGAGTTTGAGACCAGCCTGGCCAACATGGCAAAACCCCGTCTCTACCAAAAAATACAAAAATTAGACAGGCATGGTGGCGCGCAACTATAGACCCAGCTACTCGGGAGGCTGAGGCACAAGAATCGCTTGAACCCAGGGGGTGGAGGTTGCAGTAAGCCAAGATGGCACCACTGCACTCCAGCCTGGGCAACACAGCGAGACTCTGTCTCAAAAAAAAAAAAAAAAAAAAAGCTGGTGAATGGCAAAACTGGAGTATTAGCTATTGCTACAAAGGAAGCCACCTAAAGTGGGGCTTAAAATAGCACCCACTTATTATTATTATTTTTTTTGTGGCAAGGTCTCACTCTGTCACCAAGGCTGGAGGGCAGTGGTGCTCTTGGCTCACTGCAATCTCTGCCTCCTGGGTTCAAGCGATTCTCTTGCCTCAGCCTCTCGAATAGCTGGGATTACAGGCGTGTGCCACCACGCATGGCTAAGTTTTATATTTTTGGTAGAGATGGGGTTTCACTATGTTGGCCAGGCTGGTCTCGAACTCCTGACCCCAAGTGATCCACCCACCTTGGCCTCCCAAAGTGCTGGGATTACAGGCGTGAGCCACTGTACCAGGCCAACTTACTATTGCTTATGAGTCAATGGGTCAGCTGGGTGGCTGTGCTGCCCTGGGCCAGGTTTGGCTGATCCCTACAGGCTCTTGTGCCTGTGGTCAGCTGGCAGGCTGGCTGCTGGCTGACTGGTCTAGCTAGTATGGACTTGGTTAGAGGGGGTTTGCTATCTATCTTCCACATGGTCACTCATTTCTGGACAGCTAGCTTGGGCTTGTCCACATGGTGGCCTTAGGGTTCCAAGAACATGAGCAGAAGTGTTCAAGGACACCTCCTGGCATGGCATCACTGCTGCCTTACTCTGTTGGCCAAAGCAAGTCACAAGGCCAGCCTCGATTCAAGGGATGGGGAAATAGACGCCACTTCTTTTTTTCCATTTTTTTTTTTTGGTGGAGGCAGGGTCTTGCTATGTTGCCCAGGCTGGTCTTGAACTCCTGGGCTCAAGCAGTCCTCCTGCCTCAGCCTCCCAAAGTGCAGGATTATAGGCGCGAGCCACTGCACCTGGCCTAGACTCCACTTCTTAGTGGGAGAAGCTGTAAAGCCACATTGAAGGAGGATGGATACATGGAAGGATAAAATTTAATAATTAAACTAGCAGCCCAGGTATTTTCTTAAAGCCCAACATCAGCTCCCTTGATATACCTTCTTCGTGATGTCATGATGCCACTAAGAAGCATTCTGGGACCTCAGTGGCATGGGTCATGGGAGAAGGACCAGGGACCAGGGCTGGAGAAACTGACCAAGTCCTTGGGCTGATCCCCGAGGTGTGGGTAATCTGACATCAATGCCCAGCATCCAAAGGGGAATGGCCAACTCAGGTTAGACCTGGACACATACACATCTGAGCAGGTTCATCTGGGGACGAGCCTGGCACAGGAATCTGACAAGGGTGATATTTTAACCCACGATAGTGGCCAAGTCTCTAGGTAGATTATTGGTGGGAAGTGGAATTGTAGTTTTCACTGGGGAGATAGGGACAGGGTACAGCTTTCCCTTCCCAGGGATCACACTGGACAAACTAGACAGTGTCAAGGGTTCAACAACAGTTTGGGATTCAGGTCAGGGATCTAGCCCTACTGCAGTCCTAGTTATTGAAACTAAGGAGAAACAAGGGTTAGAGTAGCAGCTTAGCAGTCAGCTTGGTTGCAGGTCTTCTCCTTATAGGATGCACTAGATCTCAATTCTGAGGCTGACATGACATAAACAGGACACACATGCTTCTGTTCCCACACTTTGGTGTCCATAGCAGACATCACTAATGGATCACAGAACAGTTTTTCCGGTGAGTCCAGACAAGGTCTCAGAATCCTTCTCAACACAGTGTTTCACCAGGTACTATACAACTGAAGAACATTAGCATATGAGTTGAAATCTGCATACTCTAATCCCTGGTTGCAGGCAGTATGACATTCTGTGCCCCACTGACTGATGGGACTGAGTCTTCTTCATGCTCCCCTCCCTGGCTGGTTTAGGGACAGGTTGTTGCTGCCAAACTGTGTTGAGAAGGAATCTGAAGCTCCACCTGGGCTTAGTAGGAAAGGAGAACCATGATGAGTTTGAGATGTCTAGAGCAGGAGAGGCCCCTTAGAGAACACGGCTTTGGGGACAGTCAGGACTGATGCCTGGTTTCAGCCCCCACTTTTCCTCTCTGGGTTGGGGTGGAGTGGGAAACTGTCAGAGAGAGAGTCTACCCCTGCGAATAGGGGCATTCCAGAGCCCCCAAGACCTCTAAGAATGGTAGGCCGCATTAGGATTTCCCAACACTATTGACATTTGAGACCAGATCATTCTTCGTGGCGGGGACCATCCTGTGCATTGTAGGGTGTCAGGCAGCACCCCTGGCCTCCACCCACCTGATGCCAGTAGCACCCCCACCCCCAGTTGTAACAACCAAATATGTCTCTAGACATTGTCAAATGTCCCCTGGTGGGAAAAACTGAGACCCTCCCTGGACTAGATCCTGAAAACCTTTTCCCTCCCGGTAGCAGGGAACCACCAGGTTGTGTAAGGAGGGGTGAACTGTCCCAGGTTGGAAACAGAGCAGGTCAAAACTCCTACGCTTATCAGTAGTGGGATTGAGCCTGTGAGTAGCCACTGCACTCCAGCCTGGGCAACATAGCAAGACCCCATCTCAGAAAGAAAGAGAGAGAGAGAGAGATAACCTCTTCCTTATCAGCAAGAGTTTATGGAAAGGCTTCAAAGGTTTTGGGATCAGGAGGACCTGGGTCTGGTGTGGCTTGGCTGATGTGTAGGGTGACATGGGTCAGCGTGTGGGCCAGCGTGCTCCGCTCACTAGGCCTCAGCTTTCTCCTCCAGCAAATGAGAATGACACCCTCCACCTCTCTGTGGGTGTGCTCACACTCAGTGAGTGCCACCCCTATCCTCCCACAGCCCTGGTCTCCCTCCTGAACCCGTGTGCCAACATGAAGGTGTGCAATGAGGACCAGACCAACTGCACAGTGCCCACTTACCCCTCGTGCCGTGACAGCGAGACCTTCAGCACCTTCCTCCTGGACCTGTTTAAGCTGACCATCGGCATGGGCGACCTGGAGATGCTGAGCAGCACCAAGTACCCCGTGGTCTTCATCATCCTGCTGGTGACCTACATCATCCTCACCTTTGTGCTGCTCCTCAACATGCTCATTGCCCTCATGGGCGAGACAGTGGGCCAGGTCTCCAAGGAGAGCAAGCACATCTGGAAGCTGCAGGTGAGGCCCCAGGGCCCCCAGCCCCACTCTACCAGCCACCCTCGTCCTTCCGAGGAGACCCACCCGACTGGCTTCCTCGGCCTTCCACTCTGAGCAAGCAGTGTCTTCTCATTCTCCCTCCACTTCTCTGTCGGTAAAATGGGCATCAGAGGCTGCTGCTGACTTCCCAGAGCTGCCTAGTGAATTTTGAGGTGGCTTCTTGCCTGGCTGCCAGCAGTGGGCTCAGATTCTCCTTGTGGTCCAGCTCACAGGACACAGTCGGCTCCACCTAGCATGACTGAGTGACTTCTGCCGGCTCAGAAAGTGCTCCGTGGGCATCAGCGTTTCAGCAGGGGTCCCACGCTGAGCCCAGGGGCAGCTTTTGTGCTCTAGCACTCCAGCACAGGGATGTCAGCATTCTCATGGGGGTCTTTTTCTAGCAACTGTGAGCATGCTTCCTAGAGGAGAAACCAATGGGGACAGGGGCCGCCTTGGCCCGGGGAGCTGCAGAAAGTTTTTACTTACCAAAAGCTTTCTATGCAATCCTGGAAAGAACAGGCCCTGGGATCACAGCCCTCCCAGGCCAGGTGCAGCCTACAAACCTGGTGTCCTAATAAACAGTGCTGCCCCACGGCCCAGGAATACAGCACCCGTGTTTACCTTGACTGTGCATTTCAGGAAAATGGTGCAGTGAGAAAAAAGGGCCCAAGGTTGTCCTCCCAGGACTGGGTCTGAGGGAAACAGCTCTGGCCTGCTCTTAACCTTTATCTATATTGCTTACTTCATTGGGCCTCAGTTTCCCCACTGGGCATTACTCACAGGATGCAAACTGGGCATCCTGTGGGCTGGAGTGCAATGGTGTGATCTTGGCTCACTGCAACCTCTGCCTCCCAGGCTCAAGTGATTCTCTGTCCTCAGCCTCCCGAGTAGCTGGGGCTAAGGTGTGCACCACCTCACCCGGCTAATTTTTGTATTTTTTGTAAAGATGGGGTTTCACCATGTTGCCCAGGCTGGTCTTGAACTTCTGAGTTCAAGCTATCCACCTGCCTTGGCCTCCTAAAGTGCTGAGATTGCAGGTGTGAGCCACTGCACCCAGCATCAGACCATTATATTAAAAACAACAACAACAACAAAAAACTGCAAAATTTAAAAATTAAGAGATTCCCTATGAAAACCCAGATTTCTGGCTTTTCTTGAAAAGTTGGAAGCTCCAGGCAGTGCAGGGTCCGGATTCCTGCCTGGCAGCCCTCAGGTGGGGTGAGTGGCAGCTGCCCCCTTACACGTGGGCATTTGCTCCCTGTTCTCCCCAGTCTCTACCCCTCCCTCACTGAGAGGCAACTGCTGTGTAAGTGTGATAGGGCTTGGGCGGCAGCCTTTCTGCACCTGATCCTGTTTCACCCATTTGTTTTCCTGCCTGCCACCTGTGGGTATTTGAGTTTATAAACCCTGTGTCTAGTGGGGAGTAGGAGTCTAAATGCCTAGTTCTGGGCCCACCCTGGCCCGTTGTCTCATTTCTGCCACCAGAGCGGCAGGCGCAGGCTGTGAGGCTCACCGATGTCCCTCCTGACCCTCCCTCCCCGCAGTGGGCCACCACCATCCTGGACATTGAGCGCTCCTTCCCCGTATTCCTGAGGAAGGCCTTCCGCTCTGGGGAGATGGTCACCGTGGGCAAGAGCTCGGACGGCACTCCTGACCGCAGGTGGTGCTTCAGGTGAGGCTGGGGCAGTGGGGCCAGGATGGCAGGGCGGAACTGTCCCCACTGGCTCGGGGCCCCTGCTGCTCCAGCGTCGTCTACCCATTGCAATTTCTGGAGCCACTGAGGCCCCAAGAGGCCCGAGCAGAGTTCATTTCCACCAGGCGATCTCAGGCAAGTCAGCCCACCTCTCTCAGCCTCAGTTTCTTCATCTGTGGAATGAGACAATGATCTCACGGGCTCCTAGGCTGGCGGTGCGGATTAGACAGGTCAGCACGTGAGAAGTGCTCAGCCAGTGCCCGACGCGCATCGGGACGCCACAGGCTCCCCTGTTCTTGCTCAGGGGGAAGCAGAGACTTGGATGGTGGGTTCATTTTAGAGCATCACCCTGTATCTACCAAACAGTGGGGTGAGCTCTAGTGCCCTCGGTGAAATGGGAAGCTGAGGAATGTGCAGTTTCCAGGGCTGGAGACCTCACCCAGCCCATCTGCAGAATGACTCCGTGTTCCAGAGGCACAGGGAGTGCCAGCTTCTTAGGGGAACCCCTTCATGAATCTTTTCTTTCCAGTTGATTCATTCATTGTAAAGTGGTTGTCAGCATGGAGCATAAGCAGAATGTTTGGAGTCAGACAAAGTCAGTTTCTTCATCTGTGAAATGGGAACAATAATAGAACCCACCTCCTAGGCCATCCGATCAGTTCAATTCCATTTTTTGTTTGTTTTTAGAGGCAGGGTTGCTCAGGCTGGAGTGCAGTGGTGTGATCATAGCTGACTGCAGCCTCCAACTCCTGGTCTCAAGCGATCCTCCCACCTCAGCCTCCTCATGCCACCATGTCCGACCAATTTTTAATTTTTTTGTAGAGATGGGGTTCTTGCTATGTTGCCCAGGCTGGTCTCAAACTCCTGGTCTCAAGCGATCTTCCCACCTCAGCCTCCCAAAATGCTGGGATTACAGGCGTGAGCCACCACACCCAGCCTCTGTTCAGTTTGAATCCAAAGCTCAAATCTTGGCTGGGTGTGGTGGCTCGTGCTTGTAATCCCAGCACTTTGGGAGGCCAAGGTGGGTGGATCACCTGAGGTCAGGAGTTTGAGACCACCCTGGGCAACATGGTGAAACCCTGTCTCCACTAAAAATACAAAAATTAGTCGGGAGTGGTGGCATGCACCTGTAATCCCAGCTACTCGGGAGGCTGAGGCAGGAGAATCGCTTGAACCTGGTAGGTGGAGGTTGCAGTGAGCCGAGATTGCACTACTGCACTCCAGTCTGGCGGACAGAGCAAGACTCTGCCTTAAAACAAACAAACAAAAATGAATAGATAGGATAAAAAATTAAAGATAATATGTAAAAAAAAAAGATAATATATAAAAAAATGAGTGGATAAACAAAATGTGGGCTATGTGTACAGTGAAATATTATCTGGGCCAGGCGTGGTGACTGTAATACCAACACTTTGGGAAGCGAGGCAAGAGGATTGCTTGAGCCCAGGAGTTCAAGACCAACATAGTGAAACCCCATCTCTACAAAACGTTTTTAAAAAATTAGCCAGGTGTGGTGGCATATCCCTGTAATCCCAGCTACATGGGGGGCTGAAGTGGGCGGATCACTTGAGCCTGGGAGGTCAAGGTTGCAGTGAGCTGTGATCGTGCCACTGCACCCTAGCCTGGGCAATGGAGTGAGACCCTGTCTCAAAAGAAGGTTAAAAAAAATAATTTCTGCTTGGGGGAATGGAAGAATTTTGGAAATAGATAGCTGTGATGGTCACACAATGTGGATGTGCTTAATGCCACTGAATTGTATACTCAAAAATGATTAAGATGGCAAATTTTTTGTGTGTGTATACACACACACACACACACACACACACACGTCTTTTTTTTTTTTTTTTTGAGATGGAGTCTTGCTTTGTCCCCCAGGTTGGAGTGCAGTGGCGTGATCTCGGCTCACTGCAACTGCCTCCCAGGTTCAAGTGATTTTCCTGCCTCAGCCTCTCGGGTCACTGGGACTATAGGCACCCGCCACCATGCCCCGCTAATTTTTTTTTTAATTTTTTTTAATTTTTAGTAGAGGTGGGGTTTCACCATGTTGGCCAGGCTGGTCTCGAACTCCTGACCTCAAATGACCCACCCACCTCGGCCTCCCAAAGTGCTGGGATTGCAGGCATGAGCCACCACGCCCAGCCTTGTTATGTATATGTTACCATAATAAAAAAATAGGAGGGTGTGCTGGGGATGGTGGCATGGAGAGCGTCTCTGAGGGGTTCCCCATGACCCTCTGCTTGGGCCCTGCCAGGGTGGATGAGGTGAACTGGTCTCACTGGAACCAGAACTTGGGCATCATCAACGAGGACCCGGGCAAGAATGAGACCTACCAGTATTATGGCTTCTCGCATACCGTGGGCCGCCTCCGCAGGGGTGAGTGGAGGGGCGGGTGCGGAGGGGAGCCCCAGTCCATTCTCATCACGAATTTGCTTTGAGCAGTCCTGCTTCTTTCCGGGACTCAGTGTCCGTGTCTACAGAATGAGAGAGTGTGCCCCTGAGCTTCCTCTGCTGCTTGTGAATGCCTGGGGCACCTCACCTACGTGGCTTCATCCTGGCCCTCCCTACTGTTGACATAAGCTGGCCTGGGGAGGGAGGACGAGCTCCTCAGCCATCCCTGTGTGGAGAAAACCTTCCTGTTTGTCCAGTAAGCCATGAGCACGCGAGACGCAGCTGGAGAGGACACAGGCACTCAGGGCATTCGGCTCCAGGCTTGAATCCTGGTTCCTCCATTCTCTCCTGGGGAGGCACCTTGACCTCTCTTGAGCCCCAGTTTCCACCTCTGTAAAATGAGCATAGTCACATCCCCCCTTCAGAACACTGTGGAGTGCCCAGTACACAGTAGGCACTCAATATACGCACGCTCTCTCTCCACCAACCCCCACCCCTCCCTCTGATGTGCTCTCGGTGCAGATCGCTGGTCCTCGGTGGTACCCCGCGTGGTGGAACTGAACAAGAACTCGAACCCGGACGAGGTGGTGGTGCCTCTGGACAGCATGGGGAACCCCCGCTGCGATGGCCACCAGCAGGGTTACCCCCGCAAGTGGAGGACTGATGACGCCCCGCTCTAGGGACTGCAGCCCAGCCCCAGCTTCTCTGCCCACTCATTTCTAGTCCAGCCGCATTTCAGCAGTGCCTTCTGGGGTGTCCCCCCACACCCTGCTTTGGCCCCAGAGGCGAGGGACCAGTGGAGGTGCCAGGGAGGCCCCAGGACCCTGTGGTCCCCTGGCTCTGCCTCCCCACCCTGGGGTGGGGGCTCCCGGCCACCTGTCTTGCTCCTATGGAGTCACATAAGCCAACGCCAGAGCCCCTCCACCTCAGGCCCCAGCCCCTGCCTCTCCATTATTTATTTGCTCTGCTCTCAGGAAGCGACGTGACCCCTGCCCCAGCTGGAACCTGGCAGAGGCCTTAGGACCCCGTTCCAAGTGCACTGCCCGGCCAAGCCCCAGCCTCAGCCTGCGCCTGAGCTGCATGCGCCACCATTTTTGGCAGCGTGGCAGCTTTGCAAGGGGCTGGGGCCCTCGGCGTGGGGCCATGCCTTCTGTGTGTTCTGTAGTGTCTGGGATTTGCCGGTGCTCAATAAATGTTTATTCATTGACGGTGGAGATGGCAGGATGATGGCAGGGGTGGGAGGGATGGTAACAGGCATGAGACTGCAGCGAGGGAGATGGGAGAGCTAGGAAATGCCTGGGGGGAGCCAGGGGCAGGGGTGAGAGTGAGGGCAGAAGTCCTGACCGGGAGGCATTTAGAGTGTTGGTGGTTGGGGGCTGGACTGGGTGGTTGTGATGGTGGTGGTGGTGGCCTGAGAGGTGGCTGAGGTTGGTGTGGCTGTGGGGAAGGTGGGGGTGGAGGGAGGAGAGCAGAGTGATGCTGGTGGGGGTAATAATGCTGGCCAGGGAGAGTCATGTTGGCAGGGCGAGAGTGATGCTGGTGGGGGTGACAGTAGTGCTGGCTGGGGGATAATGATCCCCATGGAGACAGTACATTTGGGCAGGGGAGAGTAACGCTGGCCAGGGGTTGACAGTGCAGGTGCGGGGACTCTGGTGCTCATCAGGGGACAATTATACTGGGAGGGCTGTCCTGCTAGGCGGGAGGATGGTTGCCAGGCAGCACGGAGCAGGCGTGGCAGTGGGTGAGCCTGGAGTGTCAGCAGGGTGCTGGGTGTGCATGCGGGTCGCTGTGGTGAGGACCATGGTGGCAGGGGCGATTGGCAGTGCTTGTGGAGCTGGGATGGGTGGGGGTCATGGTGCTCCTGGCTAAGTGGGATGGTGCCTCCTTGAGGACTGCCTGCCTGTGTCTGTCCACAGGGCCACATGCCACCTGGAGCTGTGAGCCATGAGCCGGAGGTGAGGCTGACCCTCTTCTCTTCTGTATTAGTCTGTTCTCACGCTGCTGATAAAGGCATACCCGAGACTGGGTAATTTATAAAGAAAAAGAGGTTTAATGGATTCATAGTTCCATGTGGCTGGGGAGGCCTCACAATCATGGCAGAAAGCGAGAGGCACGTCTTACATGGCAGCAGGCAAGAGAGAAGAGAGCTTGTGCAGGGAAACTCCCCTTTATAAAACCACCAGCTCTTGTGACACTATCACGAGAACAGCACAGGAAAGACCTGCCCCCATGATTCAATTACCTCCTACCAGGTCCCTCCCATGACACGTGGGAATTGTGGGAGCTACACTTCAAGAGGAGATTTGGGTGGGGACACAGCCAAACTATATCACCTTACCAGGGCAGCCATTCGCCTGGGGTCATACCCAACACCAGTCAAGCTCCGAGGCAGCTCCAGACCTCCTGGCAGGAGGAGGGACCCCACAAACACCCACCCTGCTGCCACCACCCTAGAGCCAAGGAAGCCACAGCCAGCTAGTTTCCCATGGCCTCCTAGCTCTGGGTCCAGCTTCCAGCTGGGATCTCGCGTCCTTCTGAAGCTTCAGTCAAGAAGAGCTTGGGTCTTGGAGGAGACCAAGGCCAAGGGCAGCTGCAGTGGAAAATATCATGGGGCTTGGGTTGAGCAGTCCTGAATTTGCATTGGCAATGGGTTATTTGGTTCAGGGAATGTTGGTTGAGTCACTTTACCTCTCTGGGCCTCTACCTCTTCATCTGTCAGAAGGGGAGAGTCAGTGGCAGGAGGGACATGAGTCTACCAATCTCCATGAGCAGGAGGGAGGACTCAGATTACCACCAAGGCTGGCCAGGGGGCTCCAACCCCCCACCTCCTTCTACGTTGCCCTCCAGGAGCAGATTGTACCCCTCGTGGTCCAGGAGTAGCCCAGTTATTCCCAGGGCTCCATGCTTTTTTATCTATTCCTACACCCAGACAGGGGGTCCTCAGCCAGCGCTCTCAACAGGCGTCCCCAGAGTCATTCTGATTAGACAGGTTGTGTCAAAGGCTGCGCCTGAGCCAGTCTTCAGGTCCGGGTGACAGGGTGCTTCCTGGTGAACCTCCCCAGAACCACAGGGAACCCCAGCTAAGAGTGGCAGGTCAGCTCTCTGGAGGCTGCAAACATTTTTCCCTCAGGTCAGGCTCTGGGAAGGAGCAGCCACGTGATTGAGCCCCTGGGTCTCAACTTCGAGAAGGGCAGAAGGTTGGGGCAGAGAGAGAAACACTCTTTTCCTTTTTCTCTACTCTGATTGAAGTGAAAACACTCTTAAGTTGTTGCTGTTGGGTTCTTCCTCTGGGTTGGTCAGAAGACAAGATGGCCACCTGGATCTTCCCTTGAAGCTGGTTGTTTGGGACAAGGAGGGGGCCTATTTTGCCTTGGGTGCCCTTGAAACGAGCAGGGATAGTGAGGGGGGATGTTGGCATGTGGGGGAATGTCCTAGAAAGCTCTGGATTTGGGCCAGGTGCGGTGGCTCATGCCTGTAATCCCAGCATTTTGGGAGGCCAAGGCAGGCAGATCACCTGAAGTCAGGAGTTCGAGACCAGCCTGGCTAATACGGTGAAACCCCATCTCTACTAAAAATATAAAAATTAGCCAGGCATGGTGGTTGCGCAACTGTAATCCCAGCTACTTGGGAGGCTGAGGCAGGAGAATTGCTTGAACCTGGGAGGTGGAGGTTGCATTGAGCCAAGATCTCACCATTGCACTCCAGCCTGGGTGACAAGAGCAAAACTCTGTCTCAAAAAAAAAAAAAAAAAAAAAAAAAAGCTCTGGATTTGGATTCAAGAGAACTGATTTGAGTCTTGCCTCAGGAATTCTTCTGGGTATTTGTGGGTAGATTAGAAATGCTCTGAGCCTCAGTTTCCTTATCTGTAAAATGGGCACATGCTTTTCGATGATCAAGTGATTCCTGGGACCCATTAAATTCCCCCAGGCAGGCTGGGCACGGTGGCTTATGCCTGTAATCCCAGCACTTTGGGAGTCCGAAGTGGGCAGATCAGTTGAGGTCAGGAGTTCCAGACCAGCCCGGCCAACATGGTGAAACCCTGTCTCTACTAAAAATATGAAAATTAGCTGGGCATGGTGGGGCACCCCTGTAATTCTAGCTAGGTGAGAGAATTGCTTGAGCCCCATCAGGGGTGGTTGAGGGGGCAGCGGCAGAGGTTGCAGAGAGCTGAGATCGCGCCACTGCATTCCAGCCTGGGCAATAAGCGAGACTCTGTCTCCAAAAAAAAAAAAATATTCCCCCAGGCAGCAGTTGAATCATAAATAATCAATACCCAAATCAGTGAGGAAGAAGAGAGAATTGTGGCTGTAGTATTCATATAGTTACGTGATTTGGGCAGCAAGTAACAGAAAACCTACACTGGCTGGGAAAAAAAAGGATATTAATTGTGTCAGCAGGATATCCCAAGTTAGGGAGGATATTAAGGCTGATAAATTCAGGGTCTCTGTGATTCATTAAGGACCCAGTTCTGTCCCTCATGTACTCCTTCAGCATTTAAGTATGGATTCCAACCACGCGTCAGGCACTGTGCGAGGCAACGCCCGCCTGGTGTGCTGGCTTTTTTGTTACACCAGCTTTCCTCAAGGACACAAGATGGTGCCCTTGATCCAGACATCACATCCAGATTCAGTCTCATTCAGTAGAAGGGAAGACAGCTCTTCCTGTCTCTTTTTCCCTGAAGTGTCCTAGCTGG
Organism: Homo sapiens; assembly: GCF_000001405.40. Classification (NCBI taxonomy): domain Eukaryota; kingdom Metazoa; phylum Chordata; class Mammalia; order Primates; family Hominidae; genus Homo; species Homo sapiens. The sequence goes on along the minus strand of NC_000012.12, from coordinate 109,779,607 downwards.
CCTCTCCTCTTGTATTATTGACCAGAATTGTGTCATGTGTCCCACGCTTCAGCCAATCAGCAGGCAGGAAACAGCAATTGGCCTAAAGAAGCAGATGGCGATATGGAGGAAGGAAGTGACTCCAGCCAGGTCTGGGTTCTATGAGAAAGAGGATGTGCGAATTGATATTGCCTAGGCAACCAGTAGCATCTACTACAGTCCTTTTTGCAAATGTCCACCCTCCACCCCAACATTGTCATCAAGAATGGCTGTGGCTCATTCTGGGTCTGTGAAGAGGTCACTTCTCTAGGGGCGGATGGGATGGGCCTGCCAACAAAATCAAAACACCCTCCCAACTCAAAAAGACTCAGTAACTTCTAAGGTGAGTGTTTAATTCATTTATTTTCATTATTTTATTTTATGAGACAGGGTCTCACTCTGTCGCCCAGACTGGAGTGCAGTGGCATGATCTTGGCTCACTGCAACCTCCGCCTCCCAGGCTTAAGCAATTCTCTTGCCTCAGCCTCCTGAGTAGCTGAGATTACAGGCACATGCCACTATCTCCTGGCTAATTATTTTTATTTTTTTATAATGAAATAATTTTGGCTATGAATTTTCCTATGAGTACACTTTTAGCCATGTAGTAAGTTTTTCCAACTGTGATCTTTCTAAATATTCAATGATTTGGATATTGACTATGACTAAATAGCTGTGTGGGGGAACTTAAAAATCTGCAAGTCATTGGGATTTTGTTTGTTGCAGTAAAATCTTAAAGATGACCTTTCCCAATGTTCTCAAAGTGTGGGACATGCGCTGGTGGTATGCCAGAATATTCTCAGGTGATACAATGGACATAGGATCACACTTAAAAAACCCATATTCTCTTTTCAGTTCTGTGTATTCCCTGACTGTATCAAGGTCTCAGTTTGGTGCTTCTGTGTTTGAATGCCTTCCCAACATTCACTAATCTTTGTTTTCAAATAGAGAAAAGCCTTAGGCTCAGAACCTCTGGAAGGACATGGTATCTAGGAATAACTTAAAAACATTTTAATTTCGTGGCTGGGCATGGTGGCTCATGCCTGTAATCCTAGCGCTTTGGGAGGCCAAGGCAGGTGGATCACCTTAGGTCAGGAGTTCAAGACCATCCTGGCCAACATGGTGAAACCCCATCTCTACTAAAACTACAAAAAAAAAAAAAATCAGCTGGGTGTGGTGGTGTGCACCTGTAATCCCAGGTACTCGAGAGGCTGAGGCAGGAGAATCACTTGAACCTGAGAGGTGGAGGTTGCAGTGAGCCAAGATCGCGCCACTTCACTCCAGCCTGGGTGACAGAGTGAGACTGTGTCTCAAAAATAAATAAATAAATAAAATAAAAAACATTTTAATTTCATTTTATTTTTAGAGTAATAAAGCCTTCTCTTTATGGCAAATGATACAGTTTTCTAGATAAAGTAGTGGTCTCAAGTGTAGTTTACAAGCAAGTCATTTAATAATAAAAATATAGCTTATAAAAAAAGAATACTTAGATGATTTAAGGAACTATATTAAATGAATAAACGTTCATGGGGAAAATTATGACTATGTTATAGAAATGATTGATATTTGGGAATCATTAATTTATCCCAACTCTATATCCACGCTTGATCCCTTTTTACCACCAAGCCTACACCTCTCTGTTTGCATACCTCCTGTGACAGGAGGTTCATCGTCTCTGAAGACTGTAAAAAAGCAGCATCCTTAGTTTAAATGCCCTTCTCCGTTCTCCTGACCTGTGTGCCCTTTGCAGTCTAACTTTGTGATGTCCTCCCACCGAGGGCAAAGCATAATTTCCCATACCCGGGGTTGAGCATGTGACTTGTCTTGACCAATGGGATGTTAGCAGACATGCCAGGGCCAGCCCTCAGGAAGAGGATAAGAGACACCCAAGTCACCCCAGGCAACCTAGCTGAGATCAGAGGAACCCGGCAGCTGCATGAGAAATTAATGTTTTTGGATACCACAGGTTTTTTATGATTGTGTGTGTGTGTGTGTGTGTGTTTTAAGTGCAGGCAGCAATAGCTAATGGTTACAGACACTAGAAGAGAGAGTAAATAGAACACAGGCAGGCCAAAAAAACTAAATGTCTACTATATTCCGTATTATAGATGAGGAAACAGGTTCAAAGAGATGAAGACTCTTGCCCAGGGCACCTGGATGCTAAGCAGTGGAGTTGGGACCTGAACCCAGGCATTCTGTCTTCAGAACCCATGCTGGAGAGAAAGCGCTCTGGTCCCTGGGCAGTGAGAGGTAACGAGGCCAGACCACTTCTGCAGTGAAGGCCCAGGCTCTTGCCTGTCACTTTCACGGAGCTCCCAAGCCTGTCAGCATTCACTGAGAGCGCCATACCCCTAACTTTATTCCAACAAGGACTGCTTATTGTGTGCATGTATGTGTATTTAATAATGATAAGGCACTTGTATGTCATATTTGACAGGAGGGCTTTTTTCTTCCCAAGTTTAAAGCACTACTGGGAAAGAATTAGTGCTACTGGAGGCAAAAACAAAGGGACCCCATCAGAAAAGACAGTCTCTGAAACTCTGGGATCTTAATTGAACAATTACCTCTTATGCCTATGAATGGTTCATTATTACATGCCCTGTTATTATTAGCTGTTATTATTGTTTTAGATGAATGCTGGGAATTTTGTTTTAATCAAAAGCCATATTCAGCCACACCGTTCATCTCCCTGCAAAATGCATGCTTCTGACATTTCCGAATGTGATAATGTCGTAGTCGGCAGTCAGTCCCCGCACCTCGCCCAGATAACGGTGTACTCGGATCATTTCAGTTGTCTGGATGGAGTGGTTAAATACTCCAGGCCTCTGTTCATGCTGTTATTAATTTTTGGCTCCCTGGTGAAAGCATTTATATAAGAATCTAGCATCTCCTATCTTTTATTCTTTAGGAATCCAGTGTCACTGAGGACAACGAAGTGATCTTTGTTCATCCCAAGCTTTTGAGATAGAAATAAGAGGGAGGGCAGTGATGGAGCCAGAGGTCAGGATGGGAGAGGCACTGACTGGTGGAGACCCAAGCCCCAGGATTGAGGGGTGGAAGGCTGGCTCAGGAGAGGCCAGGCTGGGAGTCTTGTGTTCTTAGAGGGAATCAGAGAAAGGGGGAAGCAATATGGATAAGGCAACTGCCATGTGTTAGACGCCGTGCTCAGTGTTTGGGATTCATAATCTCAGGAACCGTGTGCGGGAGCTCATGAACCAGTGTTTGTACCATCCTAGAAATCATGCCCCCTCTTTGTTACAACACCTGAGCCAATCACCATGACTCTCCTTCCCTTACTAGGTATCGGTGTGGGAATAGCCATGTGACCCAGTTTTGCCCCATGAGACAAGCGGGGAGGTCTGCTGGGGGAGGGGGAATTCTGGGAAAAGTTTCTGGGAAAGTAAGAGAAATCTAGGAAAAGACTGTCCTCTCTGTTGCTGGTCACTATTGCATCTGGATGTGATACCCGGAACTGCAGCAGCCACTTTGTGCCCCTGAGGGGCCTTGACAGAACACAAAGATGAAAAGGACATTGGTCCCTGATGACACCATTGAGCTGCTGCTTTAACCAACTGTGAGGCCACCCTGCCTTAAGGCTTCTTATGATTATTCCAGAGAATAAATGTTCTTTCTCATTTAAACCAGTTGAGTCAGGGGGATTTTCTGATATTTGGCCCAAATCATGCTGATACAAGTACAAATTTGTATCCCCATTTTACAGATGAAGAAAGTGAGACCCAATCAAGTAAATGCCCATGACTAAGGACACATAGCCTGGATGTGGTGGAGTTGAACCTTTCTAGGGCGTGGCAGGATTTTTTTTTTTAAATATACTTAGTGTTTTTGGCCTTTCCAAAGCAGGCACACATTCTATTTCTCCATAGCAGCAGGCTGTAATGGCTGCTAACAGGTAAGGGCAGGAGAGGTTGGGGTTTGGAGCGGGGACTCAAACCCAGGTCCGCAGATCTCAGCTTAGGGTCTTCTTAGCACCTCAAGGTTCTTAGTGACATTAGGGAGTCCCCGTTCTGTTGGCACCGCTTAGTTTTGGGGGTACACCCCTTGGATCCCACAGATCTGCCCTTGGCTAGCACAGGGTAAGGCTGCTGAGGTCCCGGAGATTGGTCACCAGGGGCCGCTGTTGTCACACTCAGGGGCCTCCTCAGAGGGGTTCAGAAGGAAGCTTGGAACCTGGGGATGTGATCAGGAAGACTCCCTGTGAGCACCCTGTTGGGTGTGCCCTGAGGCTTTGAGACAGGAAATATCCCACCCCCACCCTCGTACCCTCACCCCAAGAAGGAGAGAAGGTGGCCTCGACTGCCTCTGGAGCGTTCAGGACCAAGTTGCTGTGTGCCTTCAGGCAAGTTGCCTCCCCTCTCTGAACCTCAGTTTCCTCTCTTTCAAAATAAGAGTACTCACCCCTACTTCTCAAATGTGGCTTCTTCCTCTTCCCTGAGGGCCTTCCCCTTCTTTTGTGCCTAATTCAATATGAGGGACAGGACCAGTTAGGGCGTACTAGAAATGAGACCCAGCCACCCAGGTCAGGGTTGGGTTCCAGTCCTTGCTCTGCCACAAACTCATTATGAGTCCTTGCAGTGTAATTGGGGAAACTGAGGTCCAGAGAGGAGAAAGGACTTACCCAGTTTCCCCAATTGCAATACAAGAGGCAGGACTCAGCATTTCCTGAAGTCTTGTTTGTTCCATGGGGTGTAAATAGGTGGAAACAAAAACTTAGGTGGTCAAAAAAGTTAGGGAAATGCTGGGTTAAAGCTAAAAGGGGGCTGGGCGTGGTGGCTCATGCCTGTAATCCCAGCACTTTGGGAGGCCTTCAAGGCAGGCAGATCACTTGAGGTCAGGAGTTTGAGACCAGCCTGGTCAACATGGCAAAACCCCATCTCTACTAAAAATACAAAAATTAGCCAGGTGTAGTGGAGCATGCCTGTAATCCCAGCTAATCAGGAGGCTGAGGCAGGAGAACCACTTGAACCTGGAAGGCAGAGGTTACAGTGAGCCGAGACTGTGCCACTGCAAAGAAGTTAAAAGGGAATCTTGCCTGCAGGATCTGTTAGCATCTTTAATATGTTAATGCGATTTGTGTATCTCCAAGAGCCGGGATAGGCATCTGTTTCTCAAACTCTTTTGACTGGGAAACCCACTTTCCAAGGTGACTTGGAAGTCAGCTGCACTAGGCAAGGATGGGAATACTCCACCTTTGTTATATGTCTTTTACCTAATGGCTCTGTGCTACCCAGGGGATTTGACCACCTGTCTCCTAAGTTAAACCTCACATGGTACATACATTAAAATATTAGCCTCATTTTATTTTATGAGACGAGGTCTTGTTCTGTTGCCCAGGCTGTAGTGCAGTGGTGCGATCATGGCTCACTGCAGCCTTGACCTCCTGGGCTCAAGTGATCCTCCCACCTCAGCCTTCTGAGTATCTGGGACTACAGGCACACACTACACCCAGCTAATCTTAAAATTGTTTGTACAGATAGGGGTCTCGTGATACTGCCCAAGCTGGTCTTGAACTCCTGGGCTCAAGTGATCCTCCAGCCTTTGCTTCCCAAAGTGCTGGGATTACAGGTATGAGCCACAGCTCCCCGTTGGAGCCTCATTTTACAGTTGGGAAATAGATGACTCAGGAGTGATCACTTGCCTGAGGTCACACACACCTGCACACAGCCTCAGGATGGAACGAGTTCTGACCCTCAGACAACTACATCCCACAGCACTCAGAGGGGTCCTCTTACAGGACGAATCTGCCCTATCATCCTGACCACACATCACCTGATGCCACCTCACTCCTCCAGGTGCCACCACTTCCTTCAACAGATCTGGAAATTGAGGCTCAGAGAGGCACACAAGTCACCCAGGGTCACACGTGGAGTCAGTGGGATACTAAGTTCCGTTTTCTTGCCTCCTCCCCTCCCCCTGCCACTCGCTGGCGAGCTGGTGATGGTGGCAATTTAAACAGAAAACCTTTCGTCCCTTGCTCTCACCTATCGCGCTGGCTGGACTCCACCTTCTCCGGCCAACGTTGGGGGTGGGACGGGGTGTGGGCCCTTTAAGAGCGCCCGGGAGGGATGGGCAGGCGCAGTGGTGCTGGGCACACGTGGAGCTGCGCGTGGAGGAGTCCAGGCTGCAGCCGAGGGAGCTGAGTAGGGCAAAGTTAGGAGTCGCTGTTTGGATGGCAAGTTCAGAAGTTGGAACTTGTCTCAGTTTCCCCGCTCCAGAAATGGGGTTGTGATATAAAGACAGGGATATGAGTGAAGAAAACACAGAGCCACCCTGGAAAGGTGAGTGTCTACTAACATAGCTTCCTCTATCCAAATCTGCGCCTGAGCCCCCGTGGCCTTCTGGGGCAGCTCTGATCTCTCTGTAAGGTCACCTGTCTCTGACCTGGGGTGATCTTCTAATGGTCACTATGACAGGAAGTGATAGCCGAGGTTTTCTGCACACCAGGCTACCGTATTGGACAGCTCCGTGGTAAAGGGTGTGAGCCCAGGACAGCTAAGTAGAGAGAGAAGGATCCTAGTGTCAGAACAGAGACCTAGAGAAGGACTGCAGCTCCTGCCCGGGGCCTGGATGAGATGGTGGCTTCTCCTCTCTTTCTCCCTCACCCACCGGGATGTCTGGGCAGTTGGGGCTCTGGGATCCAAGGCTGTGCCTGGGTTCTGGAGCCAAATTGGCCACATTTGGCGGTTGACAGTTGTTTTCTATTCTCTGCAAAGGGTTGCAGCTGGGAACTAGGACTCAGAATCAGACAGGCCTGTGTTCTATCCCAGCCACTTCTCCATTCTTCATCCTCAGCTGTGTGACTTTGGGCAAAGTGATTGCCCTTCTGTGGGTCTCACTAACCTTGTCTGTAATGTGGGTGCATGCACCTCTGTTGCGCCGAGTGGTTGTGAGGCACAAGTAACGTTTAGCCCCGAGCCTGGTATCTGGTCTGCCTGTAGTTAAGTGTGGGATCTCAGTAATTGTAGCAGTGATAGCAATGCTTTCGTCACCTGTCCTCCCCCCATCAATGTGGTAATCAAAGGTGATTGATTGTATAAAGAAACCATGCTAGAATGGCCACCGGAGGGCACTTTGAGATCAGCCAGCCCAGTTCCTAGATGGGGAAACTGAGGCCCAAGGAGGCACAGGTAGTCAGGGCTAGAGCCCCAGCTGGGTTCCTGGGCCCAGACCCAGACTGTGCCATGCGCCCCTACATTGCCACGCACACAGACCCCACCCTGTGGAGGATGAGGAGGTTTTTCCAGGATAGCAGGTGCATCCTTTGCTCTGATATCCAAATATGAGGGACCGGGCATGGAGAGTGGCTCCAGCCTCTCCCGTTTCCCCTCTCCTGATGCCCCAGTGTGGGTACGCCTGGCAGTTGACCAAGGACATGGGGACCTGGGTGACCAAGTTGGTGCTTGGGTGGCCCCAGTGGTGACACCTGGGAACAGCTGAGACATAGGCCACCTCCCAGTGTAACACCTGGCCCTAGACCTTGGTTTCCTGCCCCACTCCCTCCCCGAGTGCTCACACTGTGCTTTTGTCTGCTTGAATTCCATCTCTGGTTCTGGTGCCGCCCCCCCTTGGGAAATGGATTGGTTAGGGTCACTCACGGTGGCATTATCAGGATTGGAACCCAAGTCTAGCTCACTGCAGAGGCTGGGCCTGCTGGGCTTGCCCCGTCCAGGCTCCCCCGGGTTCCGGCTGCACCCAGGCGGGCTTTGATTATGAATGAGGGTGGGGGTGGGGCTTGCAGCCAGAACACCTCGCTCCCTCTCAACATCCTCGTGGCCGTTGGTCAGGTTGTGTCCTCATCTGTAAAATGGGCCTGATTTTATCATCTACCTGATAGACTCAAGTGAGGTCAGAAAAGCACTCTGTCAATTGCAGTTTATACTAGTTATGTCCTATTTGTGATGATTCCCGGTTGCCTTCCATGGAGCTCTGCTTTTCCCAGCTCCTCACCCTGCAGGGCCCGGCTCCTGCTCCCCAGGGGCTGGGGTGATGTGCTTGGCTCATTGACCCAGTGCAGAAGGGCCTGGGTCCCGCCCTGGACACAGTCCCTTCCTCTCGGAGCCTCTGTTTCCTCTTCTGTGGACTGGGTAGCATGTGCTGCCCGACGTGGATGCCTGGTCTCAGGGAGGTGGACCACCCACCACAGAGTCGAATCCAAGGCGTCCCCTCTGTCCCCATCTCTGCCCTGGACTTCACCATTGCCAGCCACCCTGGCAGGGCTCTGTGAATGGGAGGGGAGGCCTGCCTTAGCCGGAAGTTCTCCAGTGCCTCCGGCCCTGATATTGGGCTAGGAGGCTGGGAGAGAAGAGCTGGGAGGAGGCGAAGGCAGGAACGGGACACAGGGAAGAGTCCATGCTGTGAGGTTTGAACCCTAGCCTCCCACAGATTTGCTGTGTGACCTCGCACAGATCACTACGCGTCTTAGTTTTTTCCTCTCGAACGCCTCCCACCCTGCAAGGGTGTTGTGAGGCTTTGGCAAGATACAGTATGTAGGAAAATGCCTGGTGCACAGCCAAGGCCTAATAAATGCTGAGCTCCCTGGGGCAGCAGTGGTCTCCTGCAAATCCCCAGGCACCAGAGCAGGGGGTGGGTGGGCACTGGGGTGTCTGGCCTGGCTGAGATGGGGTTGGCCATGGAGATGGCTGCTGCCTAGCCACTGTGGCCTGTCCCCAGCCCCACTGCCACCATGGCCCCTTGGAGCATGCCAGGCACAAGGAAGAGCTGGGAAGAAATTGTGATGGAGGGGAGATGCCCCCGCCGAGACCACCATGAAGGGAATGAGGAAGAGGGCCCCCGTTTGGTTCTGTCTCTGCTGCTCTAGGGATCGACTGATGGCCGTGACCTAGCAGCCATCAGCCTGTGTGCTAAATGACAATGTCCATCTTGAAAGAGCTGGAATAGGGGAAGCACTGAGGGCAGGATGCTCCACGCACAGGAGGTACCCGGAGGTTCCTGGCCTGCTTCCCTCCCGGGCTGCAAGCCTGGTCAGCTGGGAGGAGACAGCCCCTTTCACTCCTAAGGGGAGGAAGAAAGAAAACGAAAACAAGAGCTACAAAAGCAACCCGACAGCTGAGACACCATCTGTGTTTTCCTTTTTCTTCTTTCTCTTCGTTTTTAAAACAATATAGTGCAGACTGCACTTCTCACAGTAGAATATAATGGTCAATTTTAGTATAAAAAAAACATTCTCAGAGATTTGTAAATGCACTTAGTGCTTGACCAGGCCTTGGAGAGAGATACAGTACCGCTTCCAGAGCGCCAGAGGGGCCAGGACTTGAGGACTTCGTGAGGGGACTCCTGCCTATCTTTCCCTGCCTTGATCGTGTGGGACAGGCCTTGGAGGGTGGTTTGCAGGAAAGGAGTTGGTCTGGGCCTCCCAGTTAAAACCAGGAGGGTCCCAAGAGATCCCTCGAAGAAGGCAAGGATGGGATCTAAGATTGCAGGCCCACTGTTAGCCCCTGTGGTGCCTTTGTGCGAACAGGAAAATGACGCCCCTTCCTCAAGATGCAGAAAATTGTAATAAATATACAAGTTTGGGTGAAAGTGGTGTCTCCTTGGACAAGGTGCCCTTGTGCAGTGCACAGCCTGAACAACTGTACCCAGCAGCCCTATAAGATGTATTGGAGGGAAGGGGGAATATGGTAGTCCAGGGTTTGGAGAATGGGGATGGGGGTGCAACTCTGTGTTAGGAAGGAATGGTGGGGGTAGGGGAAGGAGGAACAGGGGGACTGGTATAGTCCCTGGAGCCTCTGTCAGAGTGGTCTTCACCTGGCTGGTGGGGAGACACTTTGGGCCCAGTGACTTCCTATCGGCCTCCTGTACCCCTTTTCCAGAATACTGGGGAGCCAGTGTGGGGAGACACAGCTGCCTGACCCCTGGGGGGGCTGCCCTGCCCCCACCCTGACTCTGGTGCGCCTGTTTCCTCCTGCACCCCACCTTGGCCTGGGCCCCTGTCCCAGGAGGCCCAGAAAGAACCATTCCTGTTTTTGAGTGGTTTCTCTCTCCCTGCCTCTGCCAGCTTAGATAAAGGAAGGCATGGGCGTCAGTGGCTGCCCCCAGGCCCTCACTGTGTCCTGGGGCAACCGATGGTGGGGAGGGGCCTTGGTATGTGAGGTTGCCCTGCCACCCTCCATCCGGCCACAGCGAGGCGGCAGCCAGCCTGGCTCCCCTGTGGGCATCAGCAGGCACAGGGTGGGGCTGAGCGCCCCTGCGAGCCGCCCACCCTGTTCTGCGGCCTGCCTCCCGGCTCTGCGCCCTGTCCGCATGTCCGTATGTCCGCAGGGCAGGCCTTATCTGTAGACGGGTAGGCGGATGTGGGCATGCTGGTGGTCGAGTAGCCGGGGCACGGCCACCGTCTCATAGCCCTTGCCCAGCATCTGCTCCTTGATGCAGGGCGGCCGGATGTCGTTGATGAGATACTCCAGTGACTGCAGGCTGCTGCTCAGCACCGATGTGTTGCACACACTCTTGCTGGGCAGGCCCGAGAGGGCATCTGCAGGGGGCCCAGCCAGCTCCCGGGCTGCCCCCGGCCCCAGCTCCGTGACCACCACCGCCGCCGCTGGGTTGTAGCAGTCGCTGGTGGGTGTCACCAGCACACTGTTCCACGGGGCCGCAAAGTACTGGCCTACGGTGAAGCTGGTGGGCAGCCCCACGCCACAGTTGAGGGGTGACCCGCTGGCCCGCTCGTATGCCCGGCCCCCGCAAGCCTCAGGGGACTTGCTGGCCACCGTGCTCCCACTGTAGGCACGCAGTGGCTGGGGCGGCGGTGGGGGCGGTTTCTGCGGCCACAGCAGGTAATCCAGGCCGCTGTCTGCGTACCCTGCAGGCTTGGCGGCCCCAGCCAACGTCAAGGCTTGGGTGGCTCCCTGGCCCAGCTCAGTGCCTTTCCGGCAGTCGGGCAGACCGGCTGCAGCCGAGTAGGCCATGCTGGGGAAGCTGGGCACTGGGCCGTGCTTGGCAGGGCTGGGATGGGGAATAGCCATGCCCTGGCAGGCAGGGGGTGCGGCGCCCGGGGCCTGGCACTGCTGGTTGAGCTGGTACAGGAGGCTGTGGATGGAGGGCAGGTTGGAAGGTGGCAGGGGCAGGCCCCGGCCCGGCAGGGGGATGACGGAGGCGGCAGTGGCGGCTGCGGGCAGGCCGGGTGGTGGAGCAGGCGCCTCAGGTGGCTTGGGGTAGGCCAAGGGACCCAGAGTGCTGGGCACTGGGTAGGGCGCAATGCCCACCTGCACGGCGGCCGGTGACAGCTTGGTCCGCTTGCCCTCGGCGCTCTTGAGCACACTTTTGGCGGGCCCAGCTGGTGCGGCCGTGCTGGAGGAGGAAACCGCGGCCTTGACAATGGCCAGAAGGCCCTGGTAGCCAGCGGTGTGCTGTGGGTAGGGGCTGTAGCGCTGGCCACTGGTGTCATAGCCATTGACTGTGCGGCTGAGGTGCTTGTGCTGGGGCACACGGATGTTGGTGGGGAAGATCTTGATGGACAGCGGGCTGTTGGCCACCTTCTCGGCATAGGCGTCCAGTTCTGCTGGGCTCGGGTAGCGGGAGGAATGCATGGCGCTGGCCACCGCCTCGCCTGTGGGAGGAAAGCAGGTGTGAGGGCCCATCAGGAGGCCATGCCAACCTCTCCCCACAGGGCTCACGAGTCCCGCCCCCTCCACTCATTTCCCATTCATTTTACTCCTTATTCCTTCTACATTTTTAAACTTCGAATTTCAGTGTAAAGTGCAGGGAACTGCCTGCATCATAAGCTTGATGGACTTTCACAAAAGGAACACACCTGTTTTATGGTACCCAGGCCAGGAGACAGGACATTGCTAATCCCCTGTAGGGTCCCTGGGCCCCTCCCAGTCTCTAACCACACCACGCTAACCACTATCCTGACTTCTAACATGGACTGGTTGTGCCTGGTTTGTGTATGTGGTAAGATGGAATTCTACAGTATGTACTCATTTGCACCTGGCTTCTGTCACTTCATACTATGTGAGAGTCATCCAGGTGGCTGTGTGGGGAGTAGTCTGGTCTGTCTCATCGCTGTATGGTATTTGTTGTGTGACTATGCCGCAATCTATTCATCGTTTCTGTTCTTTTAGAGACAGGGTCTTGCTCTGTCACCCAGGCTGGAGTGCAGTGGTGCAGTCATGGCTCACTACAGCCTCGACCTCCTAGGCTCAAGTGATCCTAGGCATGCGCTAGCATGCCTGGCTAATTTTTGTATTTTTTGCAGAGACGGGGTTGCGCCACGTTGGCCAGGCCAGTCTTAAACTCCTGAGCTCAAGTGATCCTCCTGCCTCAGCCTCCCAAAGTGCTGGGATTACAGGCATGAGCCACTGCACCTGGCCCAACCTTTCTATTCTTGATGGCATTTGGGTTGTTTCTAGCTGGGTGAGGTGGCTCACACCTGTAATCCCAGCACTTTGGGAAGCTGAAGTGGAAGGATCGCTTGAGCCCAGGAGTTCAAGATCAGACTGGGTGACACAGCAAGACCTTGTCTTTATAAGAAAAAAAAAAAAAAAAAAAAAAAAGAAGCCAAGCATTATGGTGCATGCCTATAGTCCTAGCTACTTTGGAGGCTGAGGTGGGAGGATCACCTGAGCCCAGGAGTTGGAGGCTACAGTGAGCTGTGACTGTGCCATTGCATTCCAGCCTGGCCGATAGAGCAAGACCTTGTCTCAAAAAAATAAAAGTAAATAAATACAGTGCCATGGCCCCTAGTGCATGCAGAGTTCTGTTGGAAATATACCCAGGAATGGAATTTCTAGGTCACAGGGGAGATGCCCCTGCCCGGCTTCGGGAGAAAATGCCTGACCATTTATCCGTGAGACCATGCCAGGCTACACTCCCACCCGCAGAGCACAGGAGTTCCAGTGGCCCCACAACCTGCCAGTGCTTGGTGTCATCTTTCATTCTGTCACCACTCTGGGGGACATTCCTTCCTTCTAACCCTTTTATCCTCCGTATGCCTTCCTTCCTCACCTGTGAAACGGGATGATGACCCCCTGCCCACCTCATTGGCTGGTTAAGTGTGCTACTACGTGAACACGGCAGATGGGGCTTAGCGCCAGGGCGAGCTGCTGCCTCTTGCTTCCTGGCCCCTCCTTGAGTCTACTGTTCACCTGTAAGGCCAGCATGGCTGCTGCTGCCTTTTTAGTGAGCCGCCTGCATGGGGCTGAAGGGTACGCTCTGTGCTACAGGCTGACTGTCCCCACTATAAGTGGACACAACTGGCCCTGCCATGGGGAAGGAGGGCCATGGCGGGCAGACTCCTGCCCCCATCCATAGCCCCTCCCTGGTCCTGAGACATTCCCAAGGGCAGCCCACAGCTTTCCGGGGCTGAGGGGGTATGGAGAGTGGTGGTGGTGGAGTTCCATGAGGCAGATGGAATGGCCCTGGGCATGTAGTTTGCCCAGCTGAGCCTGTTTTCCCACCTGTAGAATGAGGGTCATGATCATGCCAGGTCTCCAAGGTGGCCTCAAGGAATGGAGGCGCCGGGGGCTCAGTAGGGGGTGAGGTACATGATAGGTGCTTGGAGCTCATTACTTTCAGGGGAGCCTGGGAGAGGAGCTTCACCACTCGGCCTCTGCTTCCTCATCTGTAAAATGGGGTGATGCTACTGCTAATACTACTTCCCAAGATGGCTGGGAGGGTTTGACGGGTCATGTGCGGTAGATGGCGTTAACAAAAGCTGGTGTTCTGTGAGCGTGAGTATTAATACCTTCCCCATCTGCCCAGAGAAAGGGCCCTCCCAGAAAAGGGGCAGGGGACTCATGCCACCCTTCAGACAGGCACAGGTGGGACTGGCATCGCAGCTGGGGATAGAGTGCAGACCCTGCTACCTCCCCACTGATCAGAAGGCTGCTGGCCATGTCCCAACCTTCTAAAGCATCGTCCCTGACACCTCGTGGGCTCACAACCAATCCAAGTGAAATGGGATGGAGAGGAACAGGCGGTGGCGGGACATGGGGGTCCAGAGACAGCTTCCCAAAAGGAACTGTATCCTGGTTAAGTCCTGGGCCACTGGTAGAAGAGGTGAAAAGGGAGGGAGAAACAGATTTCAGGCAGAGTAAACAGCCCAGGCAAAGGCCCTGAGGCAGAGAAGTAGTCAGGGTGGGAACTGCAAATGACTCGGGAGGAGAGAGGCACCGGGGCAGGCTTGCAGAGAGAAGCCCAAGAGAGGTGGCCGGCCGGGAGGGCCTCTTCGCTGCAGGAAAGCGGCTCTCACTGCACGGGGCACTCTGGCTGTGTGTAGAGACATGATTGGCTGTCACAGCTAGGGGTAGAGGTGCTACTGGCATCGGGTGGGTCATGGCCTGGGATGCCACTAAACATCCTACAATGCACAGGACAGCTCTGCCACAGAAAAGGGTCCAGTCCCAACTGTCAGCAGGGCCAAAGGGGGAGAGGCCCCGACGTGGGGCACTGGGCAGCCATGGGAGGTTTTAAGCAGGGTAAGGCATGGGCAGGCCTATGAGCCTAGGCAAATGAGCTTCAGTGGGCTTATTTGCCTCTGCCCTGGGTGAAGGGTGTGGTCTGACCTGGCCAGGGCAGCAGGGAGTGAAGAAGTAGGTGGCTCTCCGTTCATCTGGCCTCACTGGGGCTGGGCAAGTGGACCCAGCCATGGACCCCCATCCCGACTCTGCCCGGGGCAGCCTCCTCCTAAGTGGCCTAAAATAAACTCGGTGTGGAGAATGGAAATGTCACTTTGGCCAACGGGGGAATCTTTCTCCGAGATTGGATTTAAACTACATTATACAAGCAATTTCATGGGCACTTAGCGCCACTCGGAGAGTCCCGCAAAAAAGGGACCAGCTCTTCATTTACCAGCCATAAATCAGCAGTTGCTATAATGAGCACAAAAATGTCACTTTTATGCAATTTTACAGATGAACAAAACTGGTGAAATTAACTGTGGTAACCTACTGGAGTCAGCAAAAGCAGCTGCCGGGGAAAAAAAAATTATATCTGTATGTATTTTTGTTCCTCTTAAACTCTCTTCCCAAGCAAGTTTCTGCCATTGTGGTGTGAAAACTCATTTGTCCTCACCATTATACTTTCATTTGGAGTTTATCTTGAGTATCCAATGAGCCACCAACTGTGAAAATGATTAAATCTACAAAATCTATCTAATGGACGGAATAAATTAGGTGTTTAAAACCTTAAGAAGAAGAAGAAAAAAAAGGAGTGCCTGTTCCTAGTCCCCATTCACTGAAAGAAGGGGCATTTTGCCCCCATGTGGTCAACAGGGCTCATTGAGGGTGACCTGGTCCCTCTGCCATTCCACAGAAAGTGCCATAATACAGAAGCTCATTTTGGTGAGCGTCTAGTATGTGCTAGGCTCCAGGGCCATGGCTTTTTTTTTTTTTTTGAAGACAGGGTCTTACTCAGGGTAGAATGCAGTGGCACAGTCGTAGCTCACTGCAGCCTCAACCTCCCAGGCTCAAGTGATCCTCCTGCCTCAGTCTCCCAAGTAGCTGGAACTACAAGGGTGTGCCACTACACCTGGCTAATTTTTGTATTTTTTGTAAAGATGGGGTCTCACTATGTTGCCCAGGCTGGTCTCGAACTCGTGGGCTCAAGTGACCCTCCCACCTTGGTGTCTCAAAGTGCTGGGATTACAGGTCAGCACTTTGAGATGCCACGGCACCCAGCCTCCATGGCTTTTCTTGATGACTCTCGTTTGGAGGCCCCAACAACCTAGAGGTGGGAGATGGTCCCTGTTTTACTGATGAGGAAACAGACAAGTTAGGACATTTGGCAGCTGGCCTCCATGATCTGCCACTCACTCCAATGATTTTTATACCTCCTGGTATTCATGCCCTTGTCCAGTCCCTGGGACCCACACCAAACAGGACTGACCTGTATAACTAGTATGATACTCTGGAAGTGAAAGAATATGGCTTCCAGGGCTCAGTCATAAAAGTAGTTGTGGCTTCCTCCTCACTCGCTCTCTCAGACCACTTGCTCTGGGGGAAGCCACTGTTGTGCCAGGACACTGAAGCAGCCCATGGAGAAAGAGGCCCATGTAGCCATGAACTGCAGCCTTCAGCCAAGAAGACCATGTGAGACTTCTTGGAAGCAGATCCTCCAGCCCCAGTCAGGCCTTTGGATGAGAGTGCAGCCCTGGCCAATATCCTGACTGCAACCTCATGACAGACCCTGAGCAGAACCACTTAGCCAAGCTGCTCCCAACTTCCTAAGCCACAGAAACCATGAGAAATATTAAATGACTGTTGCTGCCTTAAGCCACTGAGTTTTACTTGTCACACGGCAGTAGGTGACTCATGCAGTTCCCGCTGTACAGAGCAGGAAGTGGAAGCTCAGAGTCTCCCAAGAGCATGCAATCAGCAAAGGGTGGAGCTGAGATTCAGGCCCAGTCTGTCTGCTTTCCAGGCTGTCTTCACCCTACTTCCACCTTGAGGCAGGGCAAAGCCAGGGGCTTCATGAGGCCCTCCTCTTCCCTAGAATCAGGAGGAGGACAGTCCTGAGAAGGGACCACAGAGTCAGCCTAGAGGCTCAAGGAGGCAGGGAGGCCACCCAGGGAGGCAGCTCTCACACCTGCCCTGGGCTTCTGCCTGGCACCTAGCAACCTCCAGCTGGTGGCCCTGAGCCCCAGTCCCTCTTAGAGATGGGCTTGGGGGAGCTGCTCAGTGCTTCAACGTGCTTTGAATGTGAGTGCCTTCAGGTGGGGCATGAGCCTCCAGGTCACTGGAGTCCCTGTCTGAAGCCTGGCCTGGCCACAGTGCTCCGGTGGCCCCTGGAAGCCAATGGGTTTGCAGCTCCTCCTTTACATCTTGTTCCCTGAAGGACTTTCCTGAGCTCACCCATGGGTGCCTCAAACCCAACCTGTTCCACCAGAGTAGCAATGGAGGTGGCTTGGGGTCCCAGACTACTTGGGGCCCTGACCCCAGCTTGGTGAAGGCTCTAGACTCTCCCTTGAAAGTGGGCCCAGCTGCGAGTGTTTAGTGCAATTGCACAGTCCCGTTTTGGTAAATGTAATGACAGGAAAAGGTCTTACATGAAGGAAGTGGGTGAGCCAGCGGGCTGGGACAGGCTTCTCAGCAGTGGCAAGGATGGTGGGGAGGGGGCCTGCGGCTTCGTGACTCCATTCTATCAAATAAATAGGATGCCATGGAAGTGGCGCCGTGTGACTCTCATGGCTGGGTTGTAAGAGGCAATGTGCCTTCCACCTGGAATATGTTCTCTTGGGACCTCCATCCTTGGAACCTGGCCACTGCGTTCTGACGAAGCTGAGGCCTAACATGTGAGCATGCAGGTCTTCAGAAGATTTCCATGGCCCCTACCATCACCAGGACATCACAGGGCAGCTGCACCCTCCCCACTGTGCCCGGCCCCTATTCCCGAGCATGACTGGCTGTTTGGCACTGCTGGTTTTGGGTTAGTACACAGCTACAGTAACCAGAACAGCAGGGCATGGGACTATGAGTGGCAAGATGCAGCGGCACCTAGCTTGGACAGGGTGGTCAGCAAAGAAGCCTCCTCTGATAATGTGGCTTTGGAGTACAGATTGGAGGGAGGTGGGCAAAGGAGCCATGTGGATGGTTGATGGAAGGTAGTCTTGGGGGGTTGGTGAATGCATGGGACCTGGCACAGCTGGGGAAGCAGTTGGTGCAGGGTGAGGGTGGGTGGGGAAGACAGGCTGGAGAGGTGGGAGTGCACTGCAAACCGGCAGGCTTCAGGGCCACTGCCAGGACCCGGGGGTTTCCTCTGCTTTGGAAGGTTCTGAGCCGAGAGGAGAGATCTGACTCAGGTCTTCCTACGACCCCCCAGGCTGCTGGCTGGAAAGGGGCCAAAGGAAGCCCTGGGAGCTGCCCAACTGCCAGCTCCAGGCAGAGTACCCACACCCAGGGGCCCTCAGAAGCAATGGGACTTGCTGGGCCCTAAACATGAGGTTCGAGAGGCCTGGAGATGTGGGGGATATGGACAGGGAGACACATGGAAAGAGGCGGCTCCCACATGCCTGTAACTTACTACACCCTCGCAGGCTCTCTCCTTCTCTCTGGAAGGAGATAGAACCAAGGTGTGAAGGAACAAGCCCCAAATGCTGACAGCAGCCTGCCTGGGGAAGAGGGCCCGGGTTATGGGATGGCAGGGGGATTTTACTCCTCTGTGCTTTTCTATAATTGCCAGCAGCCAGTGACTGAGTATTGATTTAGGATGGGGGGAGGGGCGCACAGCTCCCTGTCCTCCTCGGGTCCTGCCTGGAGCCTGGGGTAGTGCCCTTGGCAGCTGCATCAAAGCTCCTCGTACTCCCGTGGACCCTTCTGGCTCGCCACCCACCTTGGTGAGGCAGCTTCTGCTCCTGGGAAGAGCACAGAGGCCTGGGGGGGCAGCCTTACAGCATCTGGGGGTGGGGCTGCAGGTGGAATTCGTGGACTCTGAGCCACAGATCTGGTTCAAGTCCCAGCTCTGCCACACACTGGCTGTGTGGCCTGAGGCACACCACTGTCCCTCTCTGAGCTTTCATTTTCCCTTGTGTGAAATGGGTGAATGCTGCTGCTGACCTGGGAGGTTCTGTGAGAGGTGTTAAGAGCCGGCTTAGCTCAGTGCCTGCCCTCAGTGGGGGCATGGTTGTGGGGTTGATGACTTCATCGGAGCCCCCTCCACTGCCTCCAAGCTCCCAGCTGCCTCTTTCTGTAACCCCTCCACTGAGCTCCTGCTTGCGTGAGTCTGAGCTGCTGAGGGTGGCATTCAAGGCCCTGGCCACCTGGCCCAGGTCTCCTTCCCGCAGGCCCCTGGAACCACACATGGCGTCCCCAGCTTCCTCTCATACGCCACCCTCTGTTGACTGTTCCCTCCAGGCCAGGCACTGTGCCAAACCCTCATGGCCTTGCCCTTCCGCAGTCCTTGTGGCAGCCCCGTGCTTCAGAAGAGGTCAGACGTTCAAGGAGTAGAGTGTCAAGCGGGGGTCACAAACAAATGCCTAGAGAGGACAGATGGCAGGGACTGAGGTGGGCAGGGAGGGTGTGTCCTGACCAGAGAATGTTCACATTTAAGCAGCGTTCAAATACCCAGCAGGGCCAACCACACACCAGGTGGGCGGGATGTGGTCCACAGGCTGCCAGTTTGAGACCACTGGTGGCCAAGAGAGGATTTGTGAGCCAGGATTTGAGCCCAGGTCCTCCATCCCCCTGGCTCCTGCTCTCAGTCACTGGGCAGCGTTGGTACTGTGGCTCGGGCCCATTCTCTCACACTGATGTGCCCTCTTTCCTCCATAACCGGAGCCTCACTGGTCCTTTAGGGTCTAACTGAAGCACTGCCTCCCCGTGCTGACCACCTGAACAGACTGCTCTCCGGGTCTGTATGTGTTTCCCCTGCCCCACGCCCCTATGCAAAGGGCCTCATCTGTGAGTCACAGCACCTGATCCAAAGTGGTGAAATGTGTGTGTGGGGGTGCTGTCCATGAGGCAGGGATGGCCTCCACCCAGCGTTCCACCATGCACTGGTGCCCACTGGTGCATGGTACACAGTAGGAGCTTGCGTTGTGTGCTGGGTAAATGCAGTAAGAGGGGTTGCCTACATACCCCTGGCCCACTGGCTCTCCTGACCCTCAGGTCTCAGCCAAGGTGTCCCTCAGCCAGGCAGCCCCTGACGTGCCCTCGTAGGACCCCCATGCTGTAGCTGTCGGTCTACTTTTCTCCTGGGCTAGATTTGGAGACCTTCTAGGGCAGATCCTGTTTTTTCTCACCACCCTGACATCTAAATAATTGCAGCTGCCACCACCGAAGGTGCTTGGAAAGCGTCCCATGGATGGCGGCTCCAAGGCCAAAGAATCCCGCTCCCAGGCCTTTGAGAGGTTGCAGGGGCAGCCGCCAGGCAGCATCTGGGCTCAAACGTGCAGAAGCCAGGGTGCTCCCCACTGTGTACTGGGGCCACTCCTTCCCCCACTCTGCCTCTGCCTGCTGCGGCCCCCATTAAAGACTTGTCGGGAAATTTAAAAGGCTGGCTGGGCTGGAAGTGCTGGACGAACTGCCGCTGCCATTAAGTTAATGTTATGGGCCTTTTACAGGTGTGTTAAATAGATGCGGTTATTAACGAGTATATTAAGCCAATTAAAACCAGCCCTTTGAGTGGGATTTAATGTTGCTATAGGGAGACACAAGAGCGGGCCTTCCAGAAGCTGAGGAGGGGGCAGGGCAGGCGGAGTGGGTTGGGGATGTGCCAGAGGGACCATGGAGCAGCGGGGAGCTTGGACTGCAACACTCTGCACCACAGGGCCTGTGATATGGGACCCCAGGCACCTACCGCAGAGTGAGCCAGGCAGGGCCAGGCTGGGTCCAGGGAGAGGCATGTGTTCTTCAGCCCTCACCATCCTGTGGGGTGCATTCTGGGGCTGCCCCCATTTGACAGATAAGCAGCTGAGGCTTGGAGAGGGCAAGTCGCCTGTCCAAGGAGCTGGGAGTGGCAGTCAGGAGACTTGGAGGTGGGTTCTGCTGGCACTAGAGCTACCTCCTGGATCCCCCTGCGGTCCTAGGTTCCTACTGCTTCACTGGGCATACCCCTGGAGAAGGGGTTCCCTTGGTGGACTTCAGCTTTCTGGACGGTAGAAGGGAGCAAATTCTCGCCTTCCCATAGGAGAGGGGAGAGTGAAAGGTGTGCAAGCACACAGTAGGTGTTCACCCAGTGTCGTTTCTTTCTCAAGCCGTTGCACGCTTTGTCTACTGCCTCCTTTGTTAGGGCTCAGGGTATTACCTGTGTTGAAATGGGGGAGCAAGGGGTGTCCAGGGCTTCTCTAGGATGGAAGGGGTCCCTGGCACAGGGCCTGGCCCCAGCTCGCCAGGGGGAGCAGCTCCACATCTGCATTCCCCTTTGCTGCCACACTCTGCCCTTGGAGGTGGCAGCCTCCTGAATGCTCAATTAACGTGACACTAATTAGCTGGTGGCAGAGGCAGAATCCCTAATGAGGTCGCCCAGGAGTGGGGGCAGGGACGGCGGCTGGGCTAGGGCAGACACAGCTGTTCTCCAGCCTTTATGGGAGGGGTGTGGGGAGGGGCAGGAGTGGCTGCTCCATACCTTCCTGGCTGTCCCAGGGACCCTGCCCCAGCCGAATGACTAGGGTGGTAGCCTGAGGGCCCCTGAGGTCAGCCACAGGTGTGAATCCACACATCCCAGTGACCAGCCAGGGAACCTCAGGGAAGTGACTGCAGCTCTCCTGATGTCTGTTTCCCGTGAGGGCAGGGGAATGGAGATGAAATGACAGAATGCATGTCAGTCAGCCTGGTACAGGTGCTCAGAAAAGGCTGGCCACCTTCCTTTTAGCTCTTTCTGGGCTGGAACTGGCAGTGGAGGGTAGCAGCGAACAATGGGCCCTGTACAAAGGACCCTGCCTCTCATTCTCTAACATGTGCACACACGCAAGCTACATACGTGTGCTGAGATGCTCACATGTGTGCCCAGACATTCAGGGACACCCTCAACATACAAAGACAGTCAGGTGCTCCGGGCACACATTTATCCACACGCACCTTCCACACCCCACAGCCCTGGAGCGGCCAAGGTGGCCCTGCTGGTGGGGCTGGGGACACTTTAATCCCTCTCCAGCCTGACTTTCTTGACGCTCCCATGTGCCTCAGTTTCCCTTGCCCACTCCCTAGCTGGGCTCTGTCTTTGGGAGCCCACACCTTACTCTCTGCCTGCACCCAGGGCCCCAGATTTGTCTGTGTTTGCTGTCTTGTCCTGATGTTGCTGCCTGTCCTTTTGCCTTCAGCCCGGCCTCATCTCTCGCCTTCTCCAGACATAGACCTACTCCTGTCTGTCTCCAGCCATATACATGTTGTTCTGACTCACCTACCCGTCCCGCCCCCTCCCCACCCCTGGCTCCCTGCCTGTTCCCATCATTGTCTTTCTGCAGCCACATCCGTGGCTCTCTATTCTGGACACTGGTCCATTATAAGTGTTGCAGACACCCACTCTCAATTTGTGGCTTGTCTTTTTTTTCTCTCATTTTGGAAATCCTTTCTATCCTGGGGATTATATTCTCCATCATTTTCTTCGAAGAATGATATGGTTTTGCTTTCCACAGTTAGATTTCTAGTCTGCCTGGGATTCCTTTTTGGGTATGGTGTGAGGTAGGCCTCCTCTGTCACTTATTCCCTGTGGATAACCACTTGCCCCAGCATGGCATATGTCTCCCCAGTGATCTGCAACCCCTGCTTTGTCTCCTGGTCCTTGTGCTGATCCCACTGTCTCAACTTGAAGCTGTAACAGGACAAGCCCCTTCCCCAACCCTGATACTTCTTTTTCAAAAGTGCCTTGGCCATTTTTGGTCCCTTTGCTTTTATCAATTAAGTCAGCTTTTGAGTTACACACACACAAATGCTCAAGATGTAGGGACTGAATTTCTTCCATTTGAATCTCTGTCTATATGCATGACATATTTCTAAGTTTATTTAGGTCTTTAAAAAATACCACTGAATAAACTTATCTTCTCCATAAAGGCCATTTGCCTCTTTTGTCAGAGTTTCATAATTTAGAGGAAATGGACAAATTCCTAGAAAGACATCAACTACCAAGACTAACTTGAGAAATTGAAAATCTGAATAGACCTATAACAAGTAAAGAGATTGAATTAGCAATCAAAACACTACCAACAATGAAAAGCCCAGACCTAGATGGCCTCATAGGTGAATTCTACCAAGCATTTAAATAAGAATTAATTATTCACAACCTCTTCCATAAAAAAAAGAGAGAACACTTCCAGATGAATTCTGTAAGGCCAGTATTACCCTAATTCTAAAACCAGACAAAGATATTACACACAAAAAAACTATGGACCATATAGCCATTATGAATATAGATGCAAAAACCAACAAAATACTAGCAAACTAAATCCAGCCACTTAGAAAAAGGACTATATACCATGACCAAGTGGGACTTATCCCAGGAATGCAAGGTTGGTTCAACATCCAAAAATCAATTAATGTTAATACCATATTGACAGAAGGACAACTACCACATCTTCATCCCAATAGACACAGAGCATTTGCCAAATCAATATCCCTCATGATAAAAACACTCAAAAAACTATGAAAACTACATAGTTAACATCATACTTCACGGTAAAAGACTCAATGCTTTCCCTCTACAATCAGGAATAAGACAAAGTATCTTTCCACTCCTATTCAATATTGTACTAAAAGTTTTAGCCAGAGCAATTAGACAAAAAAAAAAAAAAAAAGCATTCATATTAGAAAGAAGTAAAACCATCTCTAGTCACAGATGACATTATCTTGTATACAGGATATCCTGAGAAATTCACTAAAAAACTATTAGAATAAAGAAGTTCAGCAAGGTTGCAGGATACAAGATCAATATACAAAAATCAACTCTATTTATTCACAATGAGTCCAAAAATTAAGAAAATTCCAATTACAACAGCATCAAAAAGACGACTGAGGAATAAATTTAACAAAAGAGCAAAACTCAAAATCTGTAAACTACAAAACATTGTTGAAAGAAAAATAAATGGAAAGACACCCTGTATTCATGGATTGGAAGACAATAATAAGATGGCAATATTCCCTAAGTTGATCTATAAATCCAATGCAAATCTCTATCAAAACCTCAGCTGGCTTCTTTGCAGAACTTGACAAGCTGAGACTAAACTTCATGGGACTCAGAATAGCCAAAACAGTCTTGAAGGAAGAGGACAAAGTTGGAGGATTTACACTTTCTGATTTCAAAACTTAATACAAAGCTGCAGGAATCAAGACAATGTGGTACTGGCATAAAGATGGACATGCAGGTCAATGGAATAGAAAATCCAGAAATAAACCCTTACATTTATGGTCAATTGATTTTCACAAGGGAACCAAAACAACTCAATAGGAGAAAGATTGGTCTCTTCAACAAATGTTGGGACAGCTAGGTATCGAT
This sequence comes from Homo sapiens, assembly GCF_000001405.40. Taxonomy (NCBI): domain Eukaryota; kingdom Metazoa; phylum Chordata; class Mammalia; order Primates; family Hominidae; genus Homo; species Homo sapiens. The sequence goes on along the minus strand of NC_000012.12, from coordinate 109,755,694 downwards.
ATGCAAAAGAATGAAGTCGGATCCTTTCCTCATGATGTACACAAAACTTAACTCAAAATGAATTACAGGCTGGGTGCGGTGGCTCATGCCTGTAATCCCAGCACTTTGGGAGGCCGAGGCGGGCTGATCACCGGAGGTCGTGGGTTTGAGACCAGCCTGACCAACATAGAGAAACCGTGTCTGTACTAAAAATACAAAATTAGCTGGCCATGGTGGCGCATGCCTGCAATCCCAGCTACTCGGGAGGCTGAGGCAGGAGAATCACTTGAACTCGGGAGGCAGAGGTTGCGGTGAGCCGAGATTGCGGTGAGCCGAGATTGCGCCATTACACTCCAGCCTGGGTAACAAGAGTGAAACTCTGTCTCAAAAAAAAAAAAAAAAAAAAAAAAAAAAAAAAAAAAAAAAAAGAAGAATTACAGACCTAAATGGAAGAGCTAAAATCAGAAAACTCTTAAAACACAGGAGTGTATATCTTCATGACCTTGGGTTATGCAAAGCCTTCTTAGACAAAAACACCAAAAATACAAGTGACCAAAGACATTGTGACATCACCAAAATTCAAAACTTTTGTGCTTCAAAGGATACCACAAAGAAAGTGAAGACAACTCCAGAATGGGAGAAAATATTTGCAGATCATGCACCTGATATGGGACTTGTATCTAGAATATATGAAGAAGTTTTACAACTTAATAAAAAGACAAATTGCTGAATTTAAAAATGGACAGGCTAGACGCAGTGGCTCATGCCTGTAATCCCAGTGCTTTGGGAGGCTGAGGCAGGAGGATCACTTGAGGCAAGAGTTCAAGACCAGCCTGGGTAACATAGTGAGACCCCATCCCTACTAAAAATTAATTAAAAAATTATCTGAGCATGGTGGCATGAGCTTGTAGTCCCAGCTATTCAGGAGGCTGAGGTGGGAGTATCACTGAAGCCCAGGAGGTCGAGGCTGTAGCGAGCCATGACCATGCCACTGCCCACCAGTCAGGGTAACAGAGCAAGACCCTGTTTCAAAGAAAAAAAAAAAAAAAGAGTCCCAAACTACTGCCTGTGGGCCAAATCTGGCCTGCTGGCTGCTTTTGTAAATAAAGTCTTATTGGAACACAGCTACACCCATTCATTTATGTATGTCTGTGGCTGTATTCCTGCAAGAACTGGAGTGTTAATAAATTACAAAAGAAACTGTATGGCTCACAAAGCTGAAAATATCTGCTCTTTGCAGAAAATGTTTGCCAACCTCTGCTGTCAAGGAGTACGGTTGCATTTGTATGTTGATCTTACGTTGCTAAAGTCTTATTCTCTTGGGTTTTCTTTTTTTTTTCTTTTTTTAGAGACAGGGTCTCAATATGTTGGCCAGGCTGATCTCTTGGACTCCTCCTGAGTAGCTGGGACTACTGCAACTGGGCTCTTGGGTTTTTCTATGCAGATAATTTTACTCCTTTCTAATCCTTATACTACCTTTTAATTTACTTGTCCTAGCTTAGCTGTGCTGGCCACAGCCTCTGTGCAGTGTGTGGACAAGCAGTGATTCGGATCTTTGTCTCCCTCTGATTTTATCAAGCCTCAAGTTTGTTTGTAGTCGATCATGGTTGGACTCTGGTAAATGAAAGAGGCTGACTTCCTTCCTAGTTGGCTTGGAGCTTATTTTCAGTTGTTAAATCCTAAACAGGGTTGAGATCTATCTGGCCTGCTCCTGGCCCTTCATCTCTGAGCCTCTGTCCTCTTGCAGGCTTGGTACCTGCGGCAGGGGTGGCCCCAGACCTTCCTTCCATCCCTCAGGCTGCACTCAGCAATAGCTACGTAACTGAATCTGCTGTGCGGCCCTAGATTTATTTTTAATTTCATTGGAATTTTAAATTGCTTTGTTTCTTCCATCTTTTATTAGCATCAGTGGAAGCAGTGGCACCTGCAGGAATGCTGGTGGGCAGCGGTTCACTTAGGCAGTAGCTCCAGCCTGTCGGCGTCCTGAGGGTCTGTAGGGCGGGGGTGGGGTGAGGCTGGGAATTGGGGAAGAGCTGCTCCCTGATCCTCTTGGACGACAAGCCCTTCAAAGCTTCTCATCTATCACGAGCAATATGGGTGGTGGAGTTTCTTGCCCCCTTGTGGGTATGGATATTGTGGGAGAGGCTCCCCCCCCCGGGATGGGGGGGCAGGTGAGGTATCTGGGTCAGCTGCTAGGCCCTGCGGGGTCCTCTCCTTCCATTCCTGTCTCCATGTCACAGCAGAGGAAACCAAGGCACAGTCACTAACTTGTCCAAGACCATACATACACACCCCCATCAGGGCACTCTCTGTATTTGACCCTTAGACAGTCCCAAAGCCTGTGCCCTAGGGGTTCATGGGGATGGGGCAGGGTGGGCACACTACCCTCAGCCACAGAAGAGCAGTGTGGGGCACAGAGAGGCCACGTCACTTACCCAAGGTCCAGCTGAGGAGGGTGGGTGCTCATGTCTGCCTCCTGGGACAGCTGCCTTGGCTCCACCCTCCTTGGACCCTTGGACAGGGACGAGGCCCAGTCCCTGAGTAACCCCACCTCGCCACAGGCCCCCACGGTGCCTCTCTGGGGCTTCTGCACAGCCTGTATTTTCAGCAGCGTGTGACTCAAAGTTTGCATATTAACTCCATAATGGGAAAGTCAAATATTTATTAATTAGTGGGGAAGGCCCTGAGCAGTTGAGACCCACAGGCTGCTGGCCCAGGGGTAGGCAGGTTCCTTTGTTTTTCTGCAGGTCACTTTTCCCAGTCACCTAGGACAGGCCACGACAGCCTGCCGCCCCAACTCCTGGACCCACAGCTCATTGCAACCCACCTCCTCTGGCCCATCTGACCTTGGATCCCAGAGAAGTGAACTGTGGCTCTTTCTGGTTCCCTGGCCATTTCTCAGCATACAGCCAGACCTCATCACAAGCTACTCTGATCCCTGTTTTACAGGAAAAGGGAGACAGGGGTCTCAGACTGGACCACCTCGTCCCCCTAAACCAAGCTTTTGACATTATCATCACAGAGGGCCAGAGCTGGGTGGCTTCTTAGGTCCACCTCATCTGAGCCCTTGTTTTACAGAGGGAGGAGAACAGAAGCCTTGAAAGGCTGAACCACTCATCCAAGGTCATGTTGTCCAAAGCCTGGTCGAGACCTTTCTCCCTTGGCTGAAAACACAGCATGGCCCCAGGTCTGGTCACAAAGCCCTTCCTGTCCTGGTTCTGCCCAGGGGCAACAGGGACAAGAGGAGAGATCTGGGCCATATCACCCAAGAACCATGCCTGGGAGGAAAGGGCAGGAGCCTCCTTGACTTAGCGTCCAGGCACTGATTGGCAGCAGCAGGGCACCCAATTCAATTAGCTGCTTATCTCTCTTCCTGCCTTCCTGTTTCCTGTGCTCTTCAATTACAGGCAGAGTCACTGTCTTTTCCAATAAGTGAAGAGATGTCAAAGGATCTGAATGGGCGGGGGAAGCAGGATGTCCTTGGTGACCATCCACACTCTCCTGTTCTGGCTTTGGAGCAGGAAGGAAGGGCCAGCCCAGGTCATCAGGCCCAGCCCCTCCTCTAGCCATCTGGTAGCAGAGGGCAGGGAGTCTTGACAGGGGGACAGTAGCAATCAAAGGTTAAAAGGCACAGACCCTTTGAGACAGTCCAGCCTGGAATTTTTTTTTGCACAGATGCACATGTACAAAGATGTTCATTACAGGAATGTTTAGAATAGTGAGAGACTAGAAACAACCTAAATGTCCATCAGGGAAGGGCTGGTTAAATGTTACCATTTTTTTTATTCCTGCAGTGTAATACAGTGTAGCTGCTAAACCCCTAAACAAAAAAGAACAGGCTTCCAATAGTAGCAGAGATCAAGTAGGGCTAAGAAGCAGAAAAAAGGGCCACACCTACAGATTTCAAAGTCAGCAGCAAACACTTTCCAAAAGTGAGGGGCACGCCCTGAGTACAAAATCTAAACCCCTTATTTGAAGCAGTGAAAGGAGGGGTTTGTCAGCTGGTGACAGGTTCTTCCCTTAGACCTACTTGGTTTAGAAGAGAAAAATAGGTGGGGCTACAAACCATATTTTCAGGAACCTGGGTCTGAGGAAAAAGAGGATAAATAAGCACACATAGGAAACTCTGGGTTGTATGGAAATTTTTAGTTAGCTCAGGACATGGCCCTGGCTTTTCCCCAACCTGAAGCTCCCGCAAATGGACTGGGAAAAACTCATTTCCTCCTAGTAATCTAAATTGAACCAGCATAGGACCTAATAAAAATAATCTAAATTGAACCAGCATAGGACCTAATAAAAAATATACTAAAAAATGAAAGCAAGGCAAAGCATAAGTAAATTAATGGTTGGCCAAAAACACCTCCCATCAGAAGGATATAGTCACAGAAGAGATGAAGATCATAGACAAGTATTTCATCAAGAAGGAAAAAATTTAGTAAGCAGTTCTTTCTATAAAGCAAAAACACAAAGAAGATATACAAGAGCAGAAGAAAAAAAAATCATACTGTCCAAGTATAGAATGAGCACAGGAGAAAAAAAAAGAGGTGCAGAAAACATAGGGAAAAAAAGTGAGCAACATAAAATGAGTCAGAAAGGTCTAATCAGAAAAAGGTACATAGGGAAGACAGGTGAAAGATAGCCAATATGTGCTTAACTGGAGTCCCCAAGGAAGGAAACTAAAATACAAGCCTCGGATCTGCAAACTGAAAGGGCACAATACTGTGTTCCAGGGAAAACAGACTCTCTATGGTCAACTCCAAGACACATCCTTGTCAAGTAACTGGACATGAAAGATATGGAAAGATCGAAATCAAATAGATGGGGGAAAAAAATCAGTCCTCAGCTTCTCCATGGCAACATGCAATATTAGAAGACAGTAGAACAAAACCTACAAAATCCTCAAGCAAACAACGTGAACCAGGAACTTTTTTTTTTTTTAAACCCACTCAAGTAGAAAGGCAATAGAGAGACCGTTCTGAATGTGCAGAAACTCCAGGAGTATTGTTCACATGAGGCCTTCTTAAGGAATATACTAGAGGACCAACTTCAGACAATGGGTGAACCAAGGCAAAAGATTTGGTAGTGAGCACTATTGTTATTAAAGAAACAAATGTGGGGATTGTGGTGACATACCAGATGCTATATTATAAGCCCTGAGAATACACTAATAGCATCGCTAATAACAAATGAGAAAGGAAGGAAGAAAGAAGGGGACAAGATTATAAGTAGACTGATATCCTAGTTTTTATGTCAAACTCCTGGCTTCAAGTGATCCTCCCACCTTGGCCTCCCAAAGTGCTGGGACTGCAGGCGTGAGCCACTGTGCCAAGCCTGATATCGTCAATTTTAATAGCTGGAATCAAAACATATCATTAAAATTGATGTTAGACAATAGAGTTTTGAAAATATGAAGTGAACTCTAAGAAAATGTTGTGGAGAGAAAAAATCTACCAATTTCATCATTTTATTCCTCTTAGGGAAAATAACAGATACTATTCTAAGAGAATTAAGGAATAGTTATACCATTAGAACAAGGCCACCAACCTTCCTTATTATTAGTAGGTACACAAAACAAAGCAGAGAACACAAATCACACAGTGAAAGACTTTTTAGGACAACTTAAATAAAGCACAAATGACTGAACTAAGACCACATGTGTCATATCAATAAATGTAAATGGGCTAAACTCTCCTATTAAAAGAAAAAAAGGGCATTCAGACTGGATCACAAAGCTTAATCCAACTCTATAGTATATGAGTCACATCTAAACAAAGTAATTCAGAAAGGTTGAAATACAAGGATTGGCAAAGGTTTTAAGAAAAATGTGAATTTAAAAGGCAGCGATTACCATTTTAACAGATAAAGTTGAATCCTGGACTTTTGGGCCTGGATTCAATTTTATCTCTTAGGATATAATTCATTATGAAGATTTAAGATTATTAATATCTATGCATTAAATAACATTGCATCACCATTCAAAAGCCAAAGATACAGGTGCTACAAGAAGACATAGACAGGAACATGTTAGCAGTAGGTGTCTAGTTCCTTTCTCTATTCATGACAGGTAAGTAAGGATATAGAAAACCTAATAGCCTAATTAATGGGAGATAAAATTGGTATACACCAAACTGAATCCTGAAAACAAAGTGAACACCTTTTTAAGTCCCCATAAAAAAATCCACAAAGCTCACAACAATTAGCATAGGTTATATCACAAAGAAAGCTTCAAAAAACTCCTAAAAAGTAGAAATAGTAGACAAGATTCTCTGATCATAAAAAACACTACCACCACCCTAGAAGTAAAACACAAGGCTGGGCGTGGTGGCTCACACCCATAATCCCAGTACTTTGGAAGGCTGAGGTGGGCAAATCACCTGAGGCCGGGAGTTTGAGACCAGCCTGACTAACACGGAGAAACCCCGTCTCTACTAAAAATACAAAATTAGCCAGGCATGGTGGTGCATGCCTGTAATCCCAGCTACTCAGGAGGCTGAGGCAGAAGAATCACTTGAACCCAGGAGGTGGAGGTTATGGTGAGCCGAGATTGCACCATTGCACTCCAGCCTGGGCAACAAGAGCGAAACTCCATCTCGAAACAAACAACAAACAAACAAACACACACACAAAACACCTACTATTTGTGTGGATGCGTGGGACTCAAATGAGTCTTAGGTTAAAAATTTAAAATATCTAGAAAATAATAATAATGAAAATACTACATATAGCTCGGAAGTGCTCAGAGACTTTGTAGCCTGAATTTCTCCTTTTTTAAAAAAAGATTAATGTAAAAATGTAACTCTCTAAGGGAAAAAAACTAAAAGCAGAAGGAAGGTTTTAATAAAGATAAAAGCACAAATTAATGAGTTAGAAACCAGAAAAGAATAATTACTAATAAATAAATCCTAAAGATGAATCTTTGGGGAAAGGGGATAGACAGTATCATTAGCTAACTAACCTAATGAAGAAAAACAGGAAAAAGAGCACAAAATATACAATATAAGAAATAAGGGTGAACTCACCACTTAAGAGTTGTAAAAATTGTTTAGTTCAAACTAATGCAAATCAATCTGAAGACCCGGATAAAATGGATACTTTTCTAGAGAAACATAATTTACCGAAGTCATTCAAAAAGAGTAGAACAAACAATCAAACTAATTATTAGAGAAGAAATAGCATTATCAAAGAGCTACCCACTCACCCCAAATAACTGCACTAGCCCAAACAGTTTCATGGAGGATCAACCAAACTTTTAAGAACAGATAATTCCATGTCTATTTAAACTGTTCAAAGAGAAAGAAGGAAAGCCTCTATTTTCTTCATGATGTCAGTGTAACATAGCAAAACCCAACCAAAATTGTTCCAAAAAAAAAAAAAAAAAAAAGAAAGAAAACCAAAGAACAATCTCTTTGACGAGACTGAGGCAAAAATCCTAAATAACAAATTCAATCCAGCAGTATATTATAAAGAAATATTTACCATGACCAACTGGGGTTTAATCTGGAATGCAAGGATTAAACCCCAGTTCAATAAGTTCAGTATTAAGAAATCTATTATTCATATTAACTCACCGATGGGAAAAAATGTGATCATAAACACTGAAAAGTCTTTTGGCAAAGTTCAACTTCCATTCTTGATTTTTAAAATCCTCAACAAAACAGGAATAGATGGATACTTACTTAACCTGATAAACTAACTGCCCCAAAGCCAGCATTTGCTTAATGGGGAAATCTAGAAGCTACAAAGCAAGAATGTCTATTATCGCCACTATTATTGTTTCATTGTTCCAGAAATAGTAGCCAACTATTAAATAAAATAAAGAAATTAAGGTATAAAACAAAATAGGGGGTAAATTTATCATTTGTAAATCATATGATAGTATAACTGGAAAACCCAAGCGCCTAAATTGAAAAACCATTAAGAACAATAAAATAATTCAGTAAGGTGGCAGAAGTTAACAGCCTTCATATAAGTGACCTTCCACTGGAAGAAAAGGCTAGCTAAAAAAGCTAAACTATCCAGAAATAACCAACACAATGTGGAAGATTTCAACCAGGCAAATGTTAAAACATTCCCGAGAGACATGAAAGAGAACTGTATCATGTTTTGGTGGGAAAGGCAGTGTCATAAAAGTGTCATTTCTTCCTAAATTCATCTGTAAATGTAATGCAATCCCGGTAGAAGCACAAATAGGATTTTTGTTTTGACCTAGATAAATTGATTCTATAGTTCAGACAAGAAAATAATAAAAGAGCCAAGGAAATTTGGGTAGAGGGGGAGAACAAGGAGCAACAACCTCTACCAAATACTAAAATGTACTATAGGGCTGGGCACGGTGGCTCATGACTGTAATCCTACCACTTTGGGAGGCTAAGGCGGGTGAATCACCTGAAGTCAGGAGTTCAAGGCCAGCCTGGCCAACACGGTGAAACCCCGTCTCCACTAAAACATATAAAAATTAGCCAGGTGTGGTAGCGCGTGCCTATAATCCCAGCTATTCAGGAGGCTGAGGCAGGAGAATCACTTGAACCTGGGAGGCGGAGGCTTCAGTGAGCCAAGATCGTGCCACTGCACTCCAGCCTGGGAAACAGAGTGAGACTGTCACAAAAAAAGAAAAAGTATTACAGATTGAGCACCCCAAATCTAAAATCCAAAGTATTCCCAAATCTGTAACTTTTTGAGTGCTGACATGTCATTCAAAGGAAATGCTCATTGGAGCATTTCAGATTTTGTGATTTGGGATGCGCAACTGGTATAATGAGATTTTCCAAAATTCAAAACACTTTGGTCTCAAGCATTTCTGATAAGGGCTACTCGACCTGGATATACACATGCTGCAACACAGATGAACTTATGTTATTCTAAGTGAAAGAAGCCAGTCACTAGTCCAGAATAGGGAAATTGTAGAGAAAGGGGAGGAGGTTGGTGAGGAGAGATGAGGTGACTGCTGATGGGTGTCGGTTTTCTTCTTGAGGTGATGAAAATGTTCTAAAATTGACTGTGGTAATGGCTGCATAATTCTATGAATATACTAAAAATCATTGAATTGTACACTCCAAATTGGTGAATGGTATATGAATTATATCTCAATAAGGCTAAAATTTTTAAACAACATAATAATTAAAACAGCACTGCACTGATACTTGAATGTATTTAGATCCACACCTCACACTTTGTACCCAATAAACTATAAGTCATATAGAGAGCATACTTTTTTTTTTGTTTTTTTTGAGACCAAGTCTCACTCTGTTGCCCAGGCTGGAGTGCAGTGGCGCTATCTTGGCTTACTGCAACCTCTGCCTCCTGGGTTCAAGCGATTCTCCTGCCTTAGCCTCCTGAGCAGCTGGGATTACAGGCATGTGCCACCATGCCTGGATAATTTTTGTATTTTTAGTAGAGTTGGGGTTTCACTATGTTGGCCAGGCTGGTCTCAAACTCCTGACCTCACGTGATCCACCTGCATTGGCCTCCCAAAGTGATAGGATTACAGGCATGAGCCACTGTGCCCGGTCTCATACATTTCTTAAAAACCATCAGAGATCTATAAGAAACCTGGGGGAATTAAAAAATAATAATCTCAGCCTGAGGAAGGACTTTCCAAGTATGATACAAAATCCAATGCCATAAAAGGAAATACTGATAAGTCTCACTTTCCAAACAAAATTCCTCCATGGCAGAATCAAAAACAAAAACCAACTTGGGGAAAATGTCTTCAATTCATAGCACAGACAGAGGTCTGATTCCATCATACACAAATAGCTCCTACAAATCAATAAGAACAAAAACCACCACCCAATTAAAAAAAAAAAAGGAGCCAAGGAGATAAGTAGATTAGTCAAAGGAAAAACAAATGGCACAGACACAAAAAGATACTCAACCTCATTCATATAAAACTAAGTTAAAACTACACTGTAGCCAGGTGCAGTGGCTCACACCTGTAATCCCAGCTGATCAGGAAGCAGAGGCAGGAGGATGGCATGAGGCCAGGAGTTTGAGACTAGCCTGGGCAACATAGCTAGACCTTGTATCCCTAAACAAAACAAAACAAAACCAAACCCACATTGTGATCCTATTGTCACTGCCCAGGTGAGCAAAACCTAAAAGTGTGATATGATGCTGTGATGGTGAGGGGTGGGGAACAGACTCTCTCACACCACAATGTGAGGTATCCACAGATACACCATCTAAAGATGTCCATCAGACCACAGCTATCAAAATGCCAAACACACATCCGTTTGACCCGGTATTTCCACTTCCAGAAATGTACCCTGCAGTTTTATCCACATCCTCGTGACACATCCAGGGTTTACCACTGCACTGCTTGTAACAGCAACAGGTCAGTTACAGTCTAAATAGAGGACTGGCCAAATAAATTATGGGCCACCCCTGCTAGAGAAAACTATGTGGCGAAAGAATGAGGAAGCTCTTTAGAAGCTGACATACAGAATAGATTACAAAGGGAAACAGTGAGATGCAGGATAGTGTGTAAAATATGCGTCTCCATACATATTTGCTGGGATGCACATAAAACATCTGGAAGGACACCCAGGAAGCTGACGACATGGACCCCCTCTGCGAGGGAAGCGGGTGGCTGGCCCAGAGGGAGGCTTTTGTCTATATACCCCTTCCTTCCTCCAAGTGTTGCATAACATGAATATGTTCCCTTGTCTAAAGATAAATATTTAAAAGAAAAAAAATATTTTCACATTGTAAGCATCATGCTAAATGGCAACGGATCCTGGGCTATAGCACAGAAGCAATAGGGAGGGGTGGGGACCGCGGTGACCTGGAGACAGACATCCCTTTAAAAGAGGCAGTCATTCAGCTCTAACCATAGCTGCAATACAGGCACACAGGCCTATGTTACCAGAGCCTCTGTTTTTGTTTTTTTCAAGAGATAGTAGAAATCCATATTTTAATGCAAATCTCCGTTTCTAAGTACTTCATTAAAAAAGAAATTATGATAGCTAAAAATAACCAAATCAGAGCGTTTCAGATCCTGGTCCTAGATAGTGAGAACAGACCCCTGGTCACCAGGTCTAGGTCCCAGTGAAAAAGCAAGGCCAGAGAGGGAAGGAAACACCCAAGACCACACAGCTCATGGGCCTCAAGCGGGGACCCCATTCTGTCTATTTTTTGCTTCCACGTCATCCTACTTTAATGGTGGTAAGGGAGACACACATGGCTAGATAATGGTGGTGAAGTTGCAGAGGCGGGGTTGGGGCATGGCGATGGTGGTGGTCAGAAGAGGCTGCTGGGAAGGAGGTCAAGCCAGAGTTGAGAGTCTTGCTCCACAGGAGCTGGCCAAAGGAGTGGGTGTCATTTTGGGGATGGAGACCAGGAAGGCAGCACAGCCGGGGCCAAGGCCTGGGGGCCTAAGAGAGCATAGAGACTTTCCGACAGGGCCATGGTAGGTGGACATCCTGGGGGGTGAATGGCGTTCTCTGCCCACGACCTGCCCTGCAAAGGCTGGGGAGGCGTCCTACTCACACTTGCGCAGCTCCAGGCTCTTGCTCGGGCAGGCCAGGTGTTGGCCCGGGGCGTTCTGGGTCCTCTGCAGACAGGCCAGCATGGCTGAGCTGGGGGTCCCCAGTGGGGTGCGCTCTGCGACTGGGTCCCTGCAGGAGGAAGATGGGGTGCTCTGTCACTTGGGGGCTGCTCCGTGTTCGCCTCCCACCATTCCCCCCGGGAGTCTCCCTGCAACCCCGAAGAACATCAGAGACTCTCAAAGCAGACACCCATTTCCCTTATTCGACCAATGAGGGGACCAAGGCCTGAGGCATCAAGAGGCCCATCTGTGGCCTCATGGGAAGGGACAGAATCCAGGGCTCTTGAGTGGGGGCTGGACTGATGGATCACACATGCCCCGGCCCTGCTCGGCATCTGGGTCATCTGCTCTGGGGCCTGCCCTGATGCCCCCAACTGGGTGAGATCCTCACTCCCTCCGTGCCCCGCAGCAGGCTGTGCTTCCGGCCGGTGGTGGCCCCCTGTAAGCAAGTCAGCCTGAAGACCCCACTTGGTCATCTTGGGCATCTACACAGAGGGGTGCTCGGGAAATGCCAGTGGGTACATGGGTGTCCCAGGTTACTGAAGTACTGGTCTGTCTCCCGCCCAGGGCATCCTCATAGCCCCCCTGGAGGGGAGATGTCAGGATGGCTTTCCTGAGAGAACAAGGGGCTCTTGAACCTTGATCCATGCTGCACCCTGAGCCCAGCCCCAATGGGCCATCAAGGCTGCCCTGACCCGAGATCCCTGTCGCTGCCTGAGCTCCTTACCCTGAATGGGAAGGGCAGAGATCTGTGCCCCGCAGGGCAGCAGCTCAGATGTGGCTGCACACAGGCCCGTGTGGTACCTTCCCCAACGGCCAGAGCCTGACATTCACACAGACACTTGCCTTCAGCTTCCCCAAACCCACTCTCCTGCAGAGAACGTTTCAGGAGGCCCAGGCACATTCCTGAGAGCCCAAAGCCCCTGACTGGCAGGGTCAGAGTGGGCCTGCCTGTGAGGCCCCAATGGGAGGGTGGCGGTGGGAGCTTACCTAGAGGTCCCTTCCTCCCTTCTTGCTAAGGAGAAGGCAGGTCTCAGGGTGAGCTCAACCCCGGACACCCCTGATGTCCATCTTCCCGGGCACCCTGTCCCCACCACTTCCTGACCTCCCACAGTCCTGAGCAGCCAAGCTGGATCACCTCAATCTTCATGTTGGTTTTAAAAAAGAAGAAGAAAGCAGAGGGGGTGTTGAAGGGGAAGAAAGGGAAGTTATTTAATACTAAACAGGTGTCTGGAGTCCTAAATTCTGCCGCTTTCTTCTAATAATGAAGTATTCATGAGGAAAAGCCTTTTTTCACTACTTTCTTAAGATACTAATTTCACAACAAGCTCCTTGTTACGGCGCAATTATTCCAATCTTGTATTTCCCGGAGACGGTTGCAGCCTCCCGTCTGTCCTGGCCTCTCGGTAAATGAAAGACAATCGCGTAACCACCTTTCATTATGCCCTATTTTACTTTCAGCAAAGGTACCCTGAAAGAAATGATTTCCTCTGAAAGGGACTTTTATTCAGTTTCAAAACCAATTTTCTCCTATTACTGTCTCAAGAAAAAAAAAAAAAGAGCGAGAGAGAGAGAGAGTGGAGGATGGAGGGGAGGGGAGGTGATTCTCACCGCCCCCTCCCCAATCGCCAGCCTTAACACAGAGACGCAATAAAAGCTGCAGTATCCACTTCCCGGCTTTGATTTCTGGTAATTTTAAAATAGGCCATTACAATCAGGCAGAAATTATACAGTTTAAAAAGGGAATGAAGTGGGGCTTATTGCAGGGATGAAAGTCCTTGACTGCAGGAAGGCAGTGCTGCTCCTCTCCTCGGGGACTTGGAATGTGAGCAGGTGGCGGGAGCAGGCCTGACTCGGGCCTGCCATCACCACAGCCTTGGACACCAGCCCTGGAGGACACGCCGTGCATGTGCACAGGGAGGGCTGGGTGTGCACACACACCCTGGTACACACTCACCTATGTACATATGTGTTTGCTGCATGGCATGTTCCTCTGCACTTACAGGCACCCTCTTACGCACAGTCGGATGGTCTATGGAGACTCACAATCATGTGCAATCTGGAAGGTAAGAGGCCTGTGGCAACCTCCCTCACCCTGCCCCAGCCTCTTTCTGTGGCCCCTGCTCCAGGGCAGAGTCCATCTCTAGCCGCTCTGACATAGGGGTTGGGGGAAAGGAGGGAGATCCGGAGAAAGCCAGTCCAAGACCTCTCCCTCCACAAATGGGAAACCCAAGCCACAGGGAGCAGTGGCCTGCCAGGCAGGGAGTGGCTGGGTGCACTTACCCCCTCACCACTGAGCTTGGCTGCACCCAGGCCAGTAAGGAGGGAGGTCAGAGGCTGGTGCCCTGTGGAAACCTGGGCTGGAAGGCTGGAACCTCCTTGCCTCCCAGCACACCCTGTGTGACCCCGGCTGGGTTAATGACCCTCTCTGGCCTGTAACAGTGGCTCCATGATCCCTGTGGGTACCTCCAGGTCACTTTCTTCCAGAGTCCTGGCCATGCCCGGCCCTATCTCCAGCCTTTTACTGGGGTCCAGAAGTCCAGCCCTTCTCTAGGTGCCCTAATGTCCCTTGGGCCATACATCCCACATGCTTTGCAGTTGAAAAAGGGTGGGCTGGGGGCTGCAATTGTTGGGGAAGGGGCAGGTCGCCTATTCTGGAGCCTCCTGGGACCCCATCAGCTCCCTTCCCAGCAGGGCTCTAGTTGTCAGCGTGCTCTTATGGTGGATGCCAGGCAGTTCTGGGAGCTGGGAGGGGTTTTCAGGGTGTGATGGTGTCCAAGTGTAGGCCTCAGCTTTGGCTCAGCTTTGCCAGGGCAGCTGCCTACATCCTCCCATTCCTTGCTTCTGGAGGGCTACAGGCAGCCTGAGAGATGCTCTTCACTTAAAGAGGAGGGACTTTTTTCTCTCTGCAACCCCAGTTCTCCCAACTCACTGCCCATTCTCCCAGGAACCCTGTGTCCTGCCACTGGGGGCACATGGCAGGGTGGTGGGGTGTCCTAGGAGGGAAGTGGGGAGGGGACCACCACCTCCAACTCCTGCATCATCCCCATCATCTGCAACCAAGACGGTCAAATCCCCCTCCTTGGCCTTAAAACCTCTCTGGCCCCGGCGTGGAGCCCAGCCCTCTTTGCCCACCACACCTCATCTCCCTCTTGGCTCCCCCTGGCCCTCCTTCCAGCCAGGCTGCCTCACACCTCCAGACCTCTGCCCCTGCTGGTTCTCCTGCCTACGGCACCGTGACCCTGATCCGTTCGAACTCAGATCTGTCTTCAGACCCTGGCTCACCCTTCCCTTCCTCTAGATATCCACCATCTCTGCTCTAATCACACCAAGGTGTAATTGCCAATTTTCACATCTCTCTCCCTCCGCTGGACTGTGTTTCTTAGGGGTAGGGACCGTGTCTTATTTGTCTGTCTCTCCCCAGTGCCTGGCAAGAGTAATCATTTACTAGATAGGTGTTGAATGAATGGCCGAATCAATGAATTGGTTATTGTCAGATAAAGTGATCTAGGCCCAGAGAAGCCAAGCGTCCCAAACAAGGTCACACAGCAAGGCAGGGACAGGACTGGGGCATGTGCCTAAAACACTCATGTTCTTTCTGTGACCCCATCTTGCCCCCTCCCTGCCTGGCATCATCCCATCTGCAGGAGGCCAGCCTCTCAGAGTCCCCGCCTGGACTCATTACCCCCCTGGCCAAGCACCATCCAGGGAGCACTGTTCATTTTGAAACCCTATCTGCAAATCAGACTGTTTATAAGCTCAAGGTCTTTTGTGACTTTAATAAAAAAAGGGGGGGCAGGGAGGGGAAAAACGTCGCATGCCTCAATGATTAGAATGCTTGGCACCTTCCCTGACATGGGGGCTGATAAGACGCCTTATCTCGGAGACACCCGAGGAAAAGGTCCCCTCCACCAGATAACGCCCCCAGCTGTCGATGTGTCCTTTCATAGCTGAGGATTTAGATAAAGGAAATGTGACAGGGGAGGGGAAAGGAAGGAAGGAACTTTTCAGGTCCGAGGAGGAATTGAGTCTGTGATGCTCGCCTTAGCAGAACAATGAATGGGAGGAGGCTGTCTCTGTTTTTATGAAAAGAACAGGGATTTGGGGGCTTGGGCCCTGCTTGCCTTTTGTCATCTCGCCCTCGCCTGTCTGGCTGCAGGGGGCGTCAGGGAGCCCACGGGCCAGTGGGAGGGGAAGCTCTGAAAGAGCAACATGCAATTTGGGCTCTTAACGGTGGTGAGCATGTATTGACTGCCCTCTGTACCAAGCCCATGCGCCTCCTCCTCGTGGCCTCTGTGGCTCCATTTCACAGCTTAGGAAATGGCCACAAAGAGGGAAGGCCATCTGTGCAAGGTCACATAGCTTTTAGATAGCAGAGCCCAAGGATGCCAATGCCAGTCAGTCCCTCAGCCCCACACTGTACAGCAGCTCCATCGTGGTTGGGGGCCCGTCAGCCCTCAGCTCCCAGTCAACTGGGCAGGGAGGGATGGAAGCAAGGGTCTGCTTCTCCCCAGGGCCCAAATCCATTTTGATTCTACTGTGGGAGGGGCTGGGATCACAGAAGGAAGGGGTGAGAGGAGGGGAAGGGCTCCCAGAGGCCACTTATTCATCCCATAAACATTCAAGGAGCGCAAATCAGGAGGCCAGCATTGGGCAGAACAACACTGAGATGAGTAAAGCCCAGGCCTTGCTTCTTACCCACCCATTCATTCATTTAGGCAGCAAACACTTCCCAAGCATCTTTTGAGGGCCAGCCCTGTGCCATGTACTGGGAGGACGGAAATGACTCAAAGTGTCCTGCCAGAAAGGAACATCTAGCCAGAACTGACCTCCCAATAAAAATGAATGTTCCTGACCTCTCTCTGCCTCCAGCATTTTCCTGATGTGGCAGGCATCTGGAACTTTCCCTCGTGTCCACAGGTCAGCAGTCTGCCCCTTGCCAGGCTGGGTTGACCCCAAGGCAGAATAGGAGGAGGACACACCTGGCTTCACGGCAGGGCCCTGAGATTGTGACCCCGGGAAAGCCATGGGCTGCGCCTCTGAGCCCCCATCTCCTCCTCTACCTCCAATCCCTAGAGCTACCCACCTGGCTTCTGTGGCTCCATTCAAGGCCAAAGCCTAGCTGTGACCTGGAGGGGAAGGTCATGCCAGGCCCTTCCTGGTGTCCAACAGGACTAGTTCAGAGAAGAGAGCTGGCCCCAGAGGCCTCTGGGTTGTACCTGCCAGGCAGGGGCCAGGCACTGGGGTTCTCACTGGCTGGGTGACCTGGAGGAAGTCACAGCACCTCTCTGAGTCTGTTTCCCAAATGAACCTTTATGGGGAGTGGACCAGCTGATAGTATGAGGGCCATCTAACTTGGACATAAGAGGATGTGATCATTTGGTTTCCAAACTTAATCCAGCTGTGTACAAGGTGTGGGGCAGTCCCTGAACTGTGGGCACACAAAGGGGCTCTAGACGTAGCCATTGTCTTTGAGGGACTTAGAATCTCGAGCAGGGACAAGATAGGAAGCTGGCAAAACCCAGCAGTTCATCATGCAAGGAGTAGAGTAGATGGTTCAGACTCTGAATTCCCTTTCAGGAAGTGAATGAGATGCTGGCCACTCCTCAGGGCCTCGCAGCCTTCCTGGGGGTGGTGGCAGGATAGGTGGGTGGTGAGGGAGCCCTCCCACAGTTCTCACCTCCATCCCTCTGGCTGTAATTCAAGTCTCTTCACGCTGCCTGGCCACACAGCCTGCTCCAAAGGCAGATAGGAGCCTGAAATGGTGGTGAGAGGCCCAGGGCCCGGGGAAGAGAATGAATGCTGGATTGGGAATACTAGGGTCAGACCCTGGTGGTGTGGCCCTAAATGGGTCACTTCTCTGTGTTGGTCCCCAGCACCACGAGCTGAGCAAGTAGAAAGCCTCAGAAAGTCCAGACCTCTCTAAATAATGAGGGGCAGCAAACCTGCTTCTGGCCAGGAAGAGTGGAGGGACCCTTGCCCAGCCCAGGAATGTCCTCAGGAATCTAGGTGCAAGCTTCCCCCAACCCCCTTAGGGGCTCCCACGACAGGAAGATCCACTGTCTGTCTCTTTCCTCTCCTCTGTCTACATCCCTGTCCTTAGCTCCACCTGCCTCCTGTCCTGATGCCTCCCTTCTCCTTCCTGCTGTCTCTCTCTCTTTCTCCCTTCCTGACCCCTCTTCCCTTGCTCCTTCCTCTCTCTCCCACCCCGCTTGTCTCAGCAAGGCAGCCAGAGTAGAAGCCCATCCCCACCTCCCTCCTGCCGCTCCCTCCCCCATCTCTGTTCTGAGCCGGAGGCCTTCCAAGGGACCCTGTTAATAATTAAATGTTAATCTAAAAAGCAATTTGAGCTGCGGCTAGGCAGATCTGGTTAGAGATTACATTAGCATGGAGGAGGCGAGGGTAATTTTCTTTAACCCCTCTCCTGATCTCTCAAGCCGGGGATTCTTCAAGTCACACCGGCACTGCTGATTAAACTGGCACAGGGCTTGGCTGTGGATAAGGGGCCTGTGAAAAGTGATTATTTCCCACTGCCATTTGGGCCTCAGCACCAGAAGGGGATTTTTACCTTTTTTTTTTTTTTTTAAGGTTGGGGGCTGGGGAGGTACTGTCCCCTTGAATAGGAGGCCTCATCTTCTGCCAGAATTACCACTGTATCTGTCCCCACCCCAGCAGGCCAGGGGCTCTCTAAAATGCTGCAAATCTTGTCACAGAGCATACCTGGCTCTTTGGTTTCTAGGACAAAGATGCCAGTCCCCTGCCTGGCTCCAACACCCCTCCATTGTGCCTGGTTCTGGGCTGGGCACTAGAGCCAGAGATGCTGGCAGTTCTGAGCCAAAGGGGAGACCAAAAAGTAAAGTGACAATCACCAATTCTGGCTGGCAGCCAGAGTCCTGAGGTGGGCTTCCCTCTGCACAAGACTCTCACCTGCACACTTGCAGGCTTTGGCCCATGCAATCCCAAGAGCCAGGAAGGACTTTTGAGCAGAAGGACTGCTCAAAAGCCCTTTCTGGCTCTCTACCCCTTAAAACTCAACTCGACCTTCAATTGGAGTCCGGGTTCCTGAGGGCTTCTCCAAGACATACAAGGTACATAATAAATGTTTGATGAATCGTCAAATGACTGGAGTCCCATGTGGCTCTCCTTGATCCTTCCTCTATGGGTTCACGGTGCTACAGCAGTGCCTGAGCACAGGGCCCTCAGGAAAACGTCTCCTGAACAAAGGATGGGCAAGAGGCTGTCCTAGGGAGTTGGGGCAGGGTGGGCCTCAGGAAGTGTCCTACTGGGACACACAGCTGGGGTCTGGGGGTAGGTGGCCATTCCTGGGCCTGTCAGCACCACGGCCAGCTCCCGGCGCAAGAGCCCTGGAGAAAGGGGCGGGGTACAGCCTGAGAGCATAGTGATGTCAGTCGCCATGGGAACTGACAACTGCGATGTGCCTCCGTCAGCACTCCAACCACTGGGGACGGCATGACAGATTAAACACCAACTATGTGCCAGGCCAGGCCCTGTGCTAGATGCTGGGGCAGTGACAGACCCTGAGTGGATGGGAGGCATCAGAGGGGTAATTACAAGGCAGGGAGACAAGCGGTGGCCATGTTGGGGTCACCCTACCTGGCCTGGGGGGGTCATGATGTAAGGACACACCAGCTGCCTCATTAGCAGAGCGACAGTGTCTGTCCCCGACTTCACATCCGGATGTCTGAGCTTTACACCCTAACTCTGTGAGCTTAGGCAAATCCCTCCCTCCTCTCTGAGCCTTAGTTTCTGCGTCTGCAAAAGGGGTTAATTCCTTACAACAAAGTGCCAGGGTCCTTGTGGTAGCTGCCTAAGTGGTACCCGTTGTTAGCATTGTTTATGGTCGCTATCAACAGGTAAGTAGGAAAAAGCTAGGGGAAGGGAAGGATCCCACAGAAGGGACTGCACAGGCCACCACATGGAGACTTGAGAGAGAGGAGCAAACAGAGAACATGAAGGAGCTCCAGGCTGCTGGAGAGCAAACCCTCCTGGTGAGTCACTGAGAGCACCTCACCTATGCAGGGCCAGGCAGGGACCCCCCCAACCTCAGAGCGGGGAGATCTGTTTCCTCTGCACTAGTGCTAGTTCAGGACAGGGACTCAGAGAAGGTGCCAGAAGGAGGGGCAGTCACTGCCACTGGCAACAGGCCTGGCTGGCCCTCTCCCAGAGCCATGGACCTCTGAAGGGCAGTTTCACTCTTCCCAGAGAGCCAGGGATCCCAAGGTGCAAAGTTTGGAGCCAGGGGCAGGCTGAGCCTCTGTTCTCCTAGTTCCAGCCTCGGCTCTTTAATGAAAATTGTCAGTCAAGTAAGACTCCGTCATCACCTTCCAGCAAAGAATGAGTGGGGAGATCTGAGAATCGATACTGAACAGCTTCAGTACTACGATGTCATAATGGGGCTGTGAGCTCAGCCGAAAGCCCCCCGCCCAGTTTTTTTTGGAAGTGGTCATAGAATCTCTCTGGAGAAACAACATGGAAATGGAGACCAAAAGAGGGAAGGAGGGATGCCACCAGATGACACTGGGATCCCGGAAGACGGAACACTGTGTGCAACGGGCAAAGGTAAGACCCACAGTGGAGATGGGAGGGGCCCGGTATCTCTAGCCTTCCTCCCACCTATTCCCCCAGTCCCTGCACCCACAGTTCAGGGTTAAAGCAGGCAACGGGGAAGGAGAAAAATCTAATAGTAAGAGCAATAAGAGCTAGCTTTTATTTTTAGTGTTCTCCACAGGCTCAGTACTTTACAGACGTCACCTCACGTAACCCACGCCACAACCGGGAGAAAGACATGATTGGCGTTGTACCCACGAGGAAACAGAGAGGGAAGGGAGCTGTCCAGGACCACGGGGTTGGTTGGTGGAGCAGGCAGGAAAGCCCCACGGAAGAGGTTGGCCTGGGCCAGACAGGGTTTGAGGATTCAGGCCCCAAGGGACGGGGAGGAAGAAGACTGGGTCCTTGTGCAAGAATGACCCAAGAGTGTTTAGAAGACGCAGTGGCCCAGGTCGGGGGAGGAGAGTGGACAAAAGTGGCTGGCAAGGGCTGGCCTTAGCTTTTAGCCCAATGCTAAGATCAGTAGATGCTTCTGGGGGTCAGGCTGGGGCAGAAATGAATGGAGCCTTCGAGGCAGGGGTTAGGAAACAGGACAGGACACTCGGCCCAAATGACAGCGCCACCACTCCACATCCCAGAGTTCATAAGCTCTCTCAATGTTTGTTTTATTTAAATCTCCAAGAGTCAAACGCCACTCACCACCCATGTGTGGGTCAGTCTCCAGCTTTCCACCTCTGCTGTGAGTGAGGGTAGAGGGGCGTCGTGTCTCTAACCCCTCCTATGGTCAGGGAGCTCCCTCCATGTCATCCGGCCACAGGCACTGTGATTTAGAAAGTGCTGGAGCCAGACCACCTGGGTTCAACCCCCTCCCCCTGTCATAGCCTAGCGGCTGACGGTTAACTGGGGAATTTTCCTTTTCTTCTTTGTGCTTCTCTGTATTTCTAATTTTTCCACAATGAACATGCATGACTTCTGGTTTTTCTTTCTTTCTTTTTTTTTTTTTTTAAAGAACTTTTCAAAAGGGATTTCAACCTCTGACCACCTGGAGACAGGCGACTGGCGCTCATTGTAAATGCACCGACATGACAGGGAACAGCTGCTGGGGAGGTGGAGACGGGTGCCGGGAGAGACAGGAAACCCCAGAGGCTTGGAAATCCAGGAGCCACAGGAAGCAGTGAGCTTTCTGCGGAGCCGGATCCGGTGGAGCCAATTCACCAGCAGGTCCCGGCAGCAACTCTTCTACAACAGATTCCTGCCCGTCCCTGTGCCCCATCGCCCCCCTGCCGTCAATCTCCACCTCAAGGGAGCCAGACCAAGCCTTTCTGTGTGTAGCGCACATCTCTCCTGCGTAGAGCTCACCTAGTGGCTTCCATAGCTTTTTTTTTTTTTTTTTTGGAGACAGGGTCTTGCCCTGTCACCCAGGCTGGGGTACGGTGGCATGATCATGGCTCACTGCAGCTCCCTCCTGGGCTCAAGTGATCCTCCTGCCTCAACCTCTCAAGTAGCTGGGACTACAGTTGTGCACCACCCCACCCAGCTAATTATTATTTTTTGTAGATGTGGGATCTTGCTATGTTGCCCAGGCTGGTCTTGAACTCCTGGCCTCAAGCAACCTTCTCACTTCAGCCTCCCTAAGTGCTGGAATTATAGGTATGAGCCATCCCGCCAGTCTTCCGTGGCTTTTCTAACAATATCCTTGAAGGACCTCTGTGAATCCCTTTCCCAATGTCTATCTGCACTGTCCCTGTCCCAGGCTGATCCTGCTCAGACACGCTGGCTTGCTTTCTGGTCCTCTCACAAGCCAACCCTGTCCCCACCCCAGGGCCTTTGCACTTATGGTTTTGCCTCTACCTAAATACCCTATACCAGTGCTGTCTGATAGAAATATGTAATAATGGGGGCCGGGCGTGGTGGCTCACACCTGTAATCCCAGCACTTTTGGGAGGCCGAGATGGGCAGATCACGAGGACAGGAGATCGAGACCATCCTGGCTAACACGGTGAAACCCCCTCTCTACTAAAAATACAAAAAATTAGCCAGGCGTGGTGGCGTGTGCCTGTAGTCCCAGCTACTCAGGAGGCTGAGGCAGGAGAATGGCGTGAACCCGGGAGGCGGAGCTTACAGTGAGCTGAGATCACACGCCACTGCACTCCAGCCTGGGTGACAGAACGAGACTCCGTCTCAAAAAAAAAAAAAATGTAATAATGGGAGCCTCATATGTAATTGTACATTTTCTAGCAGTAAGAGGAAATTAAATTTAATAATATATTTTACTTCACCCAATAGATCCAAAATAGTATCACTTCAATGTGTAATCAGTATTTAAAAATTCCTGAGGTATTTTATGTTCTTGTTTTTATTCTAAGTCTTTGAAACCTGGGATGGATTTTACATCTCAGTTCAGTTCAGACTTGCCTCACTGCAAATGTTCAATGCCACCTGTGGACAGTGCAACACCACACTGTCCCCAGTACACACCACTCTCCCACTCTCCATGCCAGCTCCATTTCCCCATTCACACCTCAGCTCAAACATCACCTCCTCCGAGAGACCCTCCTTGACCACCTGGTCAAGCTGGCAACCTTCTGCCCTGGCCATTGTCCCATCACCACAGCAGTTCTTTCATTGTCATTACTGCTCTGAAATTATCTTGATGAATGGTTTAGTGTCTGTCTCTTCCACTGGAGTGCCGGTTCTACTGTGTCTGCACGATGGGGCACACAGTAGGCACTCAGGGTGGCAGATGG